>NC_000020.11:4157244-4308759 GCF_000001405.40 Homo sapiens
GTGACACTCTAATACCGGTTGGCTGCTCTTACTACTGGATTTGACATGGCTGGAGGAGGGACCCTGGGGAGGGCCCTGTCATCGTGGACATGAGGGAAGAAAGCAAGAGCCAGCAGAAAGCGGCACAAGGCTTAGGTTGGGGTCCTGGTTAGACCAGAGTAGCCTGCAGAGGAGAAGAAAGAGGGTGTGGGTAGCTAGCAGGACTGGCTTCCTGGAGGAATGGCCAGTTAGGTGGGGAGATCTGGACAGAATGAGAAGTCACAGGTTTGAGTCTGAGAGTCAGAGGATCCTGGTGGGTGTGTGTAGGGGACAAGTGGCCTGCGGGCAGGGAGGAGGCATCAGGGACTACCTTCGTTCACTGGGCTGTGGCAGCCCACAGAAGGTTTTGAGCAGGGCAGTGATGTGATCAGAGCAGTGCATTAGTGAGACATGAGGCAGGGTGTGAGTGATGGTGGGCTGTGGGAGGGGGCGGTGCTGTGCCCCTTCATGGACATGAAGCTGGGGGAGGGGCCAAGTTGCGGACGTGACCCTCATTCTCAGACTCTCAGGGCAGTCAGTGAGGCTACCCTGCCTCGCCTCTGCCACACCTCCTTTCCTCTGTGGTGTGAGGCTCTTTGTTCAGCAGCTCAGGTGGGGGAGATGGGCTGTGGTATTTTTTATTTTTTATTTTTTTTGAGTTGGAGTCTCGCTCTGTCGCCCAGGCTGGAGTGCAGCGGCGCGATCTCGGCTCACTGCAACCTCCGCCTCCCGGGTTCACGCCATTCTCCTGCCTCAGCCTCCCGAGTAGCTGGGACTACAGGCGCCCGCCACCACGCCCGGCTAATTTTTTGTATTTTTAGTAGAGATGGTGTTTCACCTTGTTAGCCAGGATGGTCTCGATCTCCTGACCTCGTGATCCGCCCGCCTTGGCCTCCCAAAGTGCTGGGATGACAGGTGTGAGCCACAGCGCCGGTCGGGGTGTGGTATTTTAAATACCCAGGAGGAGCTACGGTGGTGCGTGGGGCAACATTGGCCCTCCGACCTGACCCGAAGGCCCTGGTGGGGCATGCTCAGTGGATTTTCCTACCCAGCCCTAGCTCCCCTCTCTTGTCCTCCTTTGCCCCTTTGTCTTTCTTCCTCAAGCATGTAGGAGCCCAGTGCTCTCTAAATCTGGGGCTGGGAGGTTGGAGGATGAGGAAAAGCATCTGGATTCAGGTGGAGCATGGTGGCCTAGCTGGGGGCATTGCAGCACCCCTTAGTCCAGATTCCCTTCTTCTCCACCTGCTTCTTGAGGGACGGCATTAAGGAAGGTGTGACTTAAAGTCAGAAGAACAAGAACTTGGAAGTGAGTTGCAATTTATTAGAAAACAGAACAAAGAATCTAGCCACCCCTGCCAACTCTGTGCTAGGCCCTGGCAGACACATGGGTCCTGTCTTCCCCATGCAGCCCCGGGGGCCTGAGTGAGGCATGATGGGTCTCACTCAGTTTCTGGGACATCTGTCTCGATGCCCTTTCGTCAACCCCATGGCTCTCTCAGAGCCTGTCCTCATACCTTCAACTGCTCCCCACCCATAACCAGATCTCCGGGACAGCCCAGCTCAGCCAGCGCACCTCTGATCCTGGCGGGTGGTGGTGATACTCCTTGCAGGCTGAGTTGGCTAGATTTTAGGATGACTCAAGCAGGAGACACCCAGCACCACCAAGGGGCATATATTCTTAGGAAATATTTTTAAATGATGCCTTTAAATGTTAAACACACAGGGACCTTTTACTCTCTCTTATTTTGGAAAATTAAAAAAAAAAAATCATACACAATGCAAAACCTTGAGAGTTAATCTGAAAAGGTTTGGAGTTTAAAAAGTAACTCAAGGAAAGATAATGAACTTGACTTCTTCATTAGATTTTTTTTTGTTTTTGAGACAGAGTTTCACTCTTGGAGTGCAATGGCGCGATCTTGGCTCACTGCAACCTCTGCCCCCTGGGTTCAAGCGATTCTCCTGCCTTAGCCTCCCAAGTAGCTAGGATTACAGGTGCCTGCCACCACGCCCGGCTAATTTTGGTATTTTTAGTGGAGACGGGGTTTCACTATGTTGGCCAGGCTGGTCTCAAACTCCTGACTTCAAGTGATCCGCCCACTTCGACCTCCCAAAGTGCTGAGATTACAGGTGTGAGCCACTGCGCCCAGCTGCTTCTTCATTAGATTTTAAAAAGAGCAAGGCCTGAGGCTTAATATATTACTAAGTAAAATTTAGAGGCAGGCTGATAGCAGGCTGTGGAACCTCTCTGAATCTCAGTTGCCTCCTCTGTACTATGGGGGTATTGATGTGAGGATTGAGGTATTCCACACAAAATGCTTGGCACTGCACTCTGTATCTCAGGTGTATTCAGCTAAAAATAGAGTGATAACAATGATGATAGGATTTTAAGAACAGACCTTTCTTGATGCTTCAAAAGCTAGTGAGTTATTCTCTCTTTGAACTCCACAAAAGGGCCTAAAGAATATGTTTATGTCCAAACTCAGCGTCTCCACTTCATAGGGGTCTTATGGATGAAATCATGGGCGCATGGCCCCTGTGTGCATTCTGAAATGAACCCCAGTGGCTTTTGAGACCTGGTTCCAGCCCTCGCGTGGGTGGGGGACTGTGCTTCATGGTTGAATTCTATGGAAAGTGCTTTATTGGTTAATCCTGTGGTCTTCTTAGGAGAGCACAGTTAATGTACCCTGAAGTCACCAGGAGGGGAAGGTCTCGGGCCAGTGATCGAGGACCGTCTAGAGGCAGTTATGAGTTACTTGCTTTTTGAATTTTCTTTTGTGCTGGCCAATGCAATTAGAACTTGTCCCTGGCCCTATTTATGGAGGAGGAGATCGAGGGTGAAGGACTGAGGCCTGGCTAGTTTAGTGCCTGGCAAGCCTAATCCAGCTGCATGGGGCAGGGAGACCAGGGTGACCTGCAGGGACCCCACTAAGCGCCCAGGCCAGAAAGCAGGTAGCTTCCCGGTGGCAGCCCCAGGCTTTGGCAGTGAAGCTGGAGTGAACCATCAGGCCTTGAGATGACTCCTGCCAGCCCCAAGTGCCTGGCACAGTGTGTGCATATCAGTATGTGGGGAGGAGTAAGATGGGAGAATCGTTGAGCCAGGGCAGTCCTCGGGCCTGCCGCACCCCTGGGGAGGCTGAGTAGGGGGGCCTGAGGTCGGAGCAGGGATTGAGCAGTGTTGCCCTGCCCTGCCCCTCACTCCATCCAGGTGGCGTCTGTCATGCCTCTGAACCTCTTGGGGCCTGTTTCCTCATCTGTAAAATGGGCAGCAGAGAGTTTATGAGTATTAAAGGATGCAGTGAATGGAAAGTGCCCAGCAAAGGGCCTGGCACAGGAGGGGCAAAATAGAGGTTTGCTGTGAGGTTCATCTGGTGACTCGATTTTTCTTTGGATATTTTCCTTTTTTCGTTTTGTGATCATGCATGCCACCTTGGCTCTATGATAAATTACGTTGTGTGGACACCATAAGAGAGGTATTTGTGCTGGAAAAGGGTTTACAGTGGAGGAAGGCCCGTCTCCACCTTCAGGGAGGAAGGCTGCCTGGATCCAGCACGGCTCAGACAGCTCTGACACTGGGGCTGTCGTGTCTCTTTGTGGGCAGAAAGCACAGGTCCCAGGCTGGGCAGAGTGGGACCCTGTGGCTCAGGAGGCAGGATGGGCTTGCCGGAGACCCCACCCCCTCCCCGGGGCTGGAGCTGAAGCACAGTTGGGCTTTGTGCAGAGTCACGAGGGGCCGCTGAGGGGGAACTGCGCCCGGCTGAGCTCACAGGCCTCAGTTCTTGTAAGTGGTTTTGAAAGAGTCAGCGGAAAGTGCTGACTGAGCTGTTCTCCTTCACCCCAGAATTGTGAGGCTGCGGCTCCTGGCAGGGATAGGGGAGAAGCCCCACCGGGAAGCCACCCCCTCAGCTGCCAGCTCACACCTCCCAGGTGTCAAGTGCCCAGGCTGCAGAATGGGTGGATCTCTGTGCTGGGTGGTGCTGGGGACACTGACTCACGTCAGGGCCGTGCCTGCAGGTGATGCCTCATGCAGGGGGCTGTGTTTGGGGGTGTGCCTGGCCCTGTGATGGCAGGCGGCTTGGAGAAGCTCTCCCAACCCTGCTGATAGCCCGGAGGAGAGAACTGGGCTTAATAATCAGACCCCTGGGCTGACCTCCCCTCTGCAGTCCTGCACTGAGGTATTTGGCTTCTGTCATTTTTCTGACCCCATCAGCTTGTTGTGAAGGGCAAAGATGATGACCAGTTGACACAGTTAGAACTGGTCTGGGTTTGTCCCAGCGGTGTCATGCCTGGTCACCCAGGTCATGCTGATGTGGCCCTTGCCCTCACCCCACATCCTGCCATTCAGCAAGTCCCCAGGAGGTTGACACAGCACTGCACCTCCTCTGCCGCAGAGTTGCCTTGGCAGGAGGCCTTCCCTGACGCCCCTGTGCAAGCAGTTAGTTTCCTGTCTCCCCGCCCTGCTTTTCCCTGACCTGACAGATCCTTAAGGGGAGGCGTCTGGGTGTTGCAGTATCCCCAGTGCCTCGGACAGTGCCTGGCACAGGTAGCCCTCCAGAAACCTTTTTGAATGAACGAAAAATCTGTCCCCTGCTACTCCCGTCCCTGCCTTAGGGCTCACTCACAAACCCTGTCTGTGCTTTTCTCCAGTCTCCTTAGCACTGGTCCCACCCTAGGCCGGGAACGTGCCCCCCGCCTGCCCGGTGCCCATCCAGACTCCCACTCACGGCGGCAGCCACCGGGTGGCAGGGCCTGTGTGTCTCCAGCGCCTGTGCCTGCCCCGCCCCCTTCCTGGTGCCTTGGGCGGCAGGTCGTGTGCCTCCTGGCAGGTGTGCCTCCTGCCCTTCCCCAGGGTGCCTCGGGGAGCCAACCTGCATGGCTGACTTGCCCAGGAAGCGCAGGGCGGCCCGGGTGGGGCTGGGGCAGGCCCTGAGCGGAGGCGGGAGGTGTGTTCTCCCCACCTGACGCTGGAAGGCTTCCCCACTCCCCACTCCCGACTCCCAACTCCCAGGGCGGGGTGAGGCGGCTGCCACAGTCATGGGAGGAAGCTCAGGAGAGTGCATAGTGTGGGACCAGGGGATTCCAAGCCAGTCCAGGTGAGTTCCCGGAGAGAGAGAAAAGGGACAGTGTTGGAATCACACGTTGAGAGATGATACTGTTAGCAGTGCCTCTGAGCCTCTGCACGTGCAGTTTCCCTGCGTGGAGCTCACTTCTCTCTCCTGGGAATTTCCACCCCCTCTTCCACCCTCCATTAGGTCTTCCTTCCCATTGTCTCTTGAATTCTTCATGATCCTTATTTCTGTACCTTTGAGTTCACTGGCTGTGAGCCTCAGGGCAGGGGGCCCTGTCTCTTGAATCCATTGCTGCGGAATCTCCAGGGGCTGATGCAGGGCCAGGCAAGGGTGCATCTTGGGGGAGACAAAACATACAAATATAGGTCTCTCTAAGGACTTCTGATGAGGAGGCTTGGACCCAGCAGAGAGCAGAACAGATGTGATGGTCATTCCCATTTTGCGGATGAGGAAACGGTCTTTCCAAGATCACTCAGAGCTAGACCCCATTCCTGCTTCCTGGCTCCTGTCCTCCAAGGGAGCAGTCCCAGCGCAGAGGTTGGACCTGCAGAGGGTGTTGAGATGCAGAGAGAAAGACGGGGAGGATGCGGCTGTGTGTGTCGGTGTGTGAGCAAGGTTGGGCAAGGACATCTGTGTGGCCTGAGGTGCTTTGTATGCCTGGAGAGCAGAGGGCTTTGGGAGCTGGGCAGCAGCGGGGTGGAGGGAGACCCAAGCCTAAGCCCAGGGTGGAGGGAGCTTGGGCACTGCCTGGCCTTGTGGCTGTCTCTGCCTCTTCCTCTCCGGCACTGTCAGACCTCAGTGGCTGTGGGCTGGCCAGGAGGCTGCAACTGGAACCTGAGCCTTGGCTGTACATTGGCATCATGTAGGTCCCTAAAAAAAAAAAAAAATACATGGTTGGGCCCCACCCCAGAGAGTCTAATTTAGATGACCTGGTATAGGTAGGGGTTATTTGTAAAAATCTCCAGGTGAGTCTAATGTACTGGTTGGGAGAAGTTCCTGTCTCTTGGGCCTTATAAGCTGTAGGGCCTGGGCCAGGCTCCCTGCCCACTTCATCCTAGCTCTGCATTTCAGAACAGCGGGGTCTGAGGCCCTGAGAGGGGTTGGTTGGGGGAGTGTTTACCTGGGGACTTCCACTCTGGGGAGTCTCTGGGGAGAGAGAGATGCTGACTCTTAGTTACCTATTGTTGGCTAACCAATGACTCCAAAACTGGTAGCTTAAAATGGCAGTCAGCATTTATTATGCTCACAGTTTCTGTAGGTTGGGAATTTGGTAGCAGTTTAGTTGGGTGGTTCTGGCTCGGGGTCTCTAGTGAGGTTGCAGTCACAGTGTCAGCCAGCGCTGCAGTCATCTGAAGGGAGCAGGAGGATTTGCTTCCAAGATGGTGTGCTCACATGCTTGGCAGGATGGTTTGGCTGTTGATGGGAGGGCTCAGTTCCGTGCCCTGTGGGCTGCCCCAGGGTTGCTTGAGTGTCCTCCCCACATGGTGACTGGCTTCTCCCAGAGTAAGCTGCCCAAGGGAGCAAGGTGGAAGCCACAGTGTCTTTTATGTCTACTTTCAGAAGTAACATTCCATCATTTCTGCAATATCCTGTTAGCTGCAATGGTCAGCTTGGGAGAGAACTACACCAAGGCACGAATCCCAGGAGGTAGGGATCATTGAGGGGCATCTTAGAGGCTGGTGGCCACATAAATTGTCCTGTTGTTGCACCTGCAGCTTCACAACCCTAGCCTGGGAGCTCCAAGCACCCCTACCAAGTAGGATAGTGGGGTGACCCTTCTATCCTGATCCCCTGTTCTTCCCATTGTCATTCCATAACAGTGTCTCTGTGGGGTAGGGTGGCTCTCTCTGAGGCCTGGGGCCCTGCTCTGGAATCATTCTGCAGGGGGATCTGTGATCTGTCTACTGGCTGGGCTTCCTTCATCCCCACCCCTGCCTGTCACCCGGCCCGATCTTCCCTGCAGTGACTACCACTAGTGTGCAGACTGGGGCCTGTAGGAAAACATAAGGACTATTGCTGCTACACATCTGGCTCTGGGATAAGCCATCTGCATGCGTTGTCACACACCTCTGTGGGGCAGGCACACTTTATCCCCATTTTACTGATGAGGAAACTGAGGCTTAGATCACTCATCTAATAAGTGGTGGGGATTCAAATGACTGGTATTCAAAGCCAGCGTCAGACCCCAGGACCTGTGTGAAAGCTGTGGTACTATAAGGTGTTCCCAAAGGATAGGACTATTTATTAAGTTGGGTCGTCAAATGAAACATAAGGAAATATGCTTTCATGATTTGTGTGTGTGTGTGTGTAAGAGAAGTGTCTCTTCCTGGGGTTCGCCGAAGGCTGTGGTGACTTGGGTGCCTCAAAACAGGGCTGATACCTTGGTGTTGAAGCTAGTATTCCCTCTCTGGGTTTCGGCTGTGTCAGGAGACTTTTTTTCTAAGGAAGCGGGCAGCTGTGAGCACCATCGCCTGTTGGCCCTCCCCTGCCAGTGGCCTGGTCTGCTGTTACCAAGGGCAGTCTTGCACCAACGTATTCACCAGGGCAGTGACCGGCTCTGTGGTGTTTTTTTCTTTAGAGACAAGGTCGCCCATAGTGGAGTACAGTGGCATGATCATGGCTCATTGCAGCCTTACACACCTGGGCTCAGGTGATCCTCCCACCTTAGCCTTTGGAGTAGCTGGGACTCCAGTTGTGCATCACCATGCCTTAGCTAAGTTGTTTTTTTTTTTTTTTTTTTTTTTGAGACAGAGTCTCGCTCTGTTGTCCAGGCTAGAGTGCAGTGGGGTGATCTTGGCTCACTGCAACCTCCGCCTCCGAGGTTCAAGTGATTCTCCTGCCTCAGCCTCCTAAGTAGCTGGGATTAACAGGCACGTGCCACCACACCTGGCTAATTTTTGTATTTTTAGTAGAGACGGGTTTTCACCATGTTGGCCAGGCTGGTCTCGAACTCCTGACCTCATGATCCGCCCGCCTTGGCCTCCCAAAGTGCTGGGATTACAGGCCTGAGCCACCGCACCCGGCCCTAGCTAACTTTTACATTTTTATTTTTGGAGAGATAGGGTCTTGCTATGTTGCCCAGGCTGGTCTCAACCTCCTGACCTCAAGCAATCCTCCCACGTCAGCTTCCTAAAGCACTGGAATTACAGGCATGAGCCACTGTTCTGGGCCTGGTCTTTCTTACACCTTTGTGGTTGATGACTTCCTGGAGGGGAATTCAGAGTTGGGATGTTAGGTCCTGCTCACAGGGAGGGAATCCAGACCATGGGGTCTTATCCTAAGGGCCACTAAAGGGAGCTGCAGTAGACTTTGCTGGGGATACAGGAGGCTGGTGAATAGGTTCAGGAGTCAGGGCTGGCCTCTCTCAGGGTAGGGGTGATTTTCCCCATTTGACAAATGGGGAAAATGAGGTTCAAGTGCTAACAGACTCTCCCAAGGCCACACTGGTTAGTGGCAGAGGCTGCTGCTGGGCAGTTCATCTTCTCTAGGAACATCTGGAGTGGCATAGTCCTCCCAGCAGATCTCTGGTTGCTGAGGGGGCATGGAGCTTGCCTACCTCTGCAAGATCTGGAATCTGAGGGGAAGAATGTGGGTTCTGCCTGCTGAGAGGTGACTATCTATCTGGCAAGCCAGGGACATCTGCAGATAGACATACACAAAGATGGGAAGCAAGGCATGGGGTGTGAGAAACCTGGAGGTGGAAACTTAGCTGGTGGGGCTGGCCCAGAGCTTGAAAAGTTCACAGGAGGTGTTCAGAGCAATTGTGCCTAGCGCCTGATCTAATCTGTTGTCAGAGTGTGATCTATTGTCAGAGTGTGATCTATTGTCAGAGTGTGATCGAGTTGCTAATTTTTGCTGAAGGTGGGACCTATAGGGTGAGGCTTGGGATGAAGCTGCAGGGGTGTGGCCTGGGGAAGTAACTGCAGTACCAAGCTCTGTTCTGGCCCATCTCTACCTGTGTCTCTCTCTGATACTGTCATCAAGGCCCTCAGTGAGCTTTCGGAAAGACCCTGCCCTTTGTCTGACTTCTTTTTTTTGAGACAAGGTCTTGCTCTGTCTCCCAGGCTGGAGTGCAGTGGTGTGATCATGGTTCACTGTAGCCTCGACTTCCTAGACTGAAGCAATCCTCCTGCCTTGGCCTCCCAAAGTGCTGGAATTACAGGTGTGAGCCACTGTGCCCTCCCAGCCTCTCTGGCTTCTTTCTGAGCTTTCTTCCCCTCCTCCACCCCCAGTTAGGTTTCTAGTTGAGTAGTCTCCTGGGTCTGCCCCTACAGGGAGCTATAAAATCACCTTATGCCTCCCAGGCAAAAGGGTCCTGAAACAATGAACCTCGGTGGTATGCAGGACACCAAGGGAAACAGAGATGGCCCCAGAGTGCTCACCTCTCCCGGGGGCCTCCCGCTCTTGCCTCCCAGTGCCTGTGGGGGCCGTGTCTTTGGCTCTGTCCCTCCATGCACTGAATCAATGGCTGCTTCTCCTTGCAACACATGCCTGCCAAGGCCCCCTGGCTCCCTTCTTCTCATCTGAAATTCGCTTACAAAGCCTTTTTAAAGTTGTGCTTTTAGGGACTTTATGATTTTAGGGAAGAAATGTGGGTAGCAATGACAATGTAATTGGAAAGAAGTCTGGGTGCCAGGCAGGATGATGGAGGCCTTCCCTGTTTTTGGCCTGTGAGGGCCAGGGGACATTGCTGGGGGCGGGGGCTCTGCTGAAAGAGGCTCCCAAGCTTTTCCCTTTCATGAGCTTGGAGCTGGCTAATGGCCACCACCTCTGATGCCCCTTCCCCTCAACAATGGGGAGGATGGTCAGGCTGAGTCAGGATTGAGGGGCTCAGGCCGAGTCAGTATTGGGTTGGGGTCAGTCAGATACAGATGTGAGGTGCCTGCATGATGTCAGTGTCAAGGTCCAGCCTGATAGTAGGGTTGGGGCCAAGGTGAAGGCTGGGTTCTGAGCTCAGATGAAGATTGGGGTTCTTCTATAAGTGAGACAGAGCTCTGGGCCCTAGGAAAGGTGACTTCTGTACTGGTCTCTTTGGGGATCTTCCTCCCTCTCCCGCCCTCTCCGAGATGACCTTTGCAGTGGCCACACCTTTTACCTGTGCTAATTTAATATTCCTACAAGTCGGCTGTACCTATCCCCATTTTACGGATGGGAAAGCTTGAAGACCAAAGTGAGCCTTTAAATATCAGATAGGGCTTGGACAAGTGTGCCCAGGTAGTGGGGTACAGAGGGTGCGTCCTTGGAGTGAGTTCAGAGGTGTTGGCCAAGTGGGGCCTGGAGAAGGGAAGACACTGGCCCAGGGGTCACCTGGCAAGGTAGAGATTGAGCTGGGGCCTGATTCCCAGGTCTGGGCCAGTGTTCTCTCCCTCCTCTTCTGTCTCCTGGGTTCATGAGCTGCCCCTGCTCTGTTCCCCACACCTGTACCCCGATTCTCCCACCGTGGCAGCCCAGCCTGGCCCAGCAGTCCTTTTACTTCCTGGCCAGCCTGAGTGAGGAGGCTGGGGAGGGTCTGGCTGGGAGGAGTTGGGGCCCAGCCCCTCCCTGGTTGAGGGGTGGGAGGAGCCTCACCGCAGACACAGAGCCCCTTTGTCTGGGCCGTTGTGCAAAGCAGCTGGTCTGGGATTTCTGGGCGTTTTTACATTTGAAGAATAATTGCATTGTCTGGGGGGCCTCAAGAATCCAAATCCCTCCCCAGACTTCCAGGCAGTCCAAAGATGTGCCCCTGGAGCAGCTCCCCAGCTTCCCTCCCACTCCCTCTCCTCCTGTTAGAAACCTGAGAAAGAGCGGGGTAGGGGTGGGGGGGTGGGGAGGGGGCATGGGGAACTGAGGTGGGGCTGCTGCCCTCAGGGACCAGAAGTCTCCATTGGGAAGAGAGGTTTAAAGTCCCCAAGGCTGGTCGGGGGCAAGTGAGCTGTCCCCTGCTGCCGAGGGCACCACAGCCCTGAACAGGTCTCATGAGCAGATGTGCGGTTGGAGGAGGGAGGAGGCTGGTGGAAGGCTGGGTCTGTTTTGGGGCACTTCAGCTGGTGGAGTCCTGGGCCCCAAGGGGAGCCAGGCAAAGTGAGCCAGGTGGGCCAATTTCCTGGGAGCCTCACTCTTCTTCTCTGGGAAGCGGATTAGGAAATTCATCCCCGGGTGACCTTGAGAAAAAGGCAGGGCTCAGGCACACTTGGGAATAGCCTGTGTTCGGAGGGGGCCAGAGATGGGTAGGAGTTTTGTCTCTCTCTCTCTCTTTTTTTTTTTTTTGAGACGGAGTCTCGCTCTGTCACCCAGGCTGGAGTGCAGTGGCGCGATCTCGACTCACTGCACCCTCTGCCTCCTGGGTTCAAGCGATTCTCCTGCCTCAGCCTCCCGAGTAGCTGGGATTACAGGCACCCGCCACCACGCTTGGCTAATTTTTGTATTTTTAGTAGAGACAGGGTTTCACCATGTTGGCCAGGCTGGTCTTGAGCTCCTGGCCTCAAGTGATCCGCCCGCCTCGGCCTCCCCAAGTGCTGGGATTACAGGCTTGAGGCACCATGCCTGGCTCTCTCTCTCTTTTTAAAATTAATGCTCTATTTTATTTTATTTTATTTTATTTTATTTTATTTTATTTTATTTTATTTTATTTTATTTTATTTTATGTTATTTTATTTTAGAGACAGGGTCTTGCTCTGTCGCCCAGACTAGAGTGCTGTGGTGCTATCATAGCTCATTGCAACCTTGAACTCCCAGGCTCAAGCCATCCTTCTTCCTCGGTCTCCAGTGTAGCTGGGGCTACAGGTACATTTCACCACAACTGGCTAATTTTTTAATTTTTATTTTTTTGTTTATGTTTCAGACAGTCTGAATATGTTTGCAATTTTTAATTTTTAGTAGAAACTAGGTCTCACTATGTTGTCCAGGCTGGTCTCTTAACTCCTGAGCTCAAGTGATCCTCCCACCTTGCCTCCCAAAGTGCCGCGATTACAGGCATGAACCACCTGTAATAGCTCTGGCCACACCTGGCCAGATTTTTATCTCTTGTGAGGGGCGTCTTGGAAGGGTGTGGGGTACGGGAGGCTGGCCTCTCCTGGCACTGTTTTGTTTCAGTAGCCACTCTTGGAGAGGGAGTGATGTGCTGATTTTTGGGTGATGCTGAGGTGGGCTTCAATGTTAAAGAAAGGGCACTGCACACCCAGCTGGGTGATTGATTCCACTGTGGTTCACTCACAGGGTTTGGCCGCGCTCACCTTGGGCAGGGGCTCGCCAGTCTAGCCTGGGACCTCAGCCCTGCCCTGTGGCTGTGGGGCTTCAGCCTCATTCTTGAGATAACAGACAACAGAATTTCCTGGGGTGAGATGCCTGTGCTTTGGGGGTAGGCTGGGGGTCAGGTGACAGTGCAGAACCAGTACGAGGGACTCACATTTCAAGGGTGTCTGTTGCTTCAGGAAACAGTAACGGAGCAGGCCTTGCTGGTGGTTCGAGCAACACCCACCCCGAAATCACACAAGGCCGTGCATACTAAGAGAACCCAGAACCAGCTTCTCTGATGTGTATGCGGGAGGCTGTTTCCTGCAGGCCTTCAGGTGGGCGGGGCTGGGGAGGCTCCAGACTTTTGGTGAAGTTGGGGGTCTGTGTGTATGTTTTGGCGGGGAGTTGTGATTGAGAACTGAAGCTAGAAAGGCCAGCTGGGTCCAGAGGGCAAGGCTGACATGCAGAGATCTTCCCCAGGCCTGCTACATAGTAGGTGCTCAGTGAATTGCTAAATTATATTCCCTGGCCAGCGAGATGCCCAGCTGTGCTTATCCTTGGAGGGTGGGGCTGGGAGATTGAGACCCGCATGGGTGAGGCTCACATAGAGGAGGCGGGGTGGGGGGGTGCTTCTGGCGCAGTTGGGGGTGGAGGTGACATGATTCAGGCTGTGGAGTTGCCATGGCTTGACCCGATGTATGAGGAGGGTCTCCCACTAAGGGTGACTCCAGATTTGAGCCTAGGGACTGCTTGGTGGTCCTGTAATTTGCCCTCAATGAGGAAAGTGCCAGGAGTTGGGTGGTGCCTCCTGTTTAGTTCTGGGCATTTCCAGGCGGGGCTTGGCAGGGTCAGACGTTGGAGACCAGGACTAACGCGTGTCTCTCTAGTATTTGGCCATTAGAAGGTACTTGCTGGAGTGTAAATTTCTTCACTTTTTTTTTTCTGAGACAGGGTCTCACTCTGTTGCCCAGGCTGGAGCACCATGGTGCCATCTCAGCTCACTGCAACTAGAGCGTAAATTTCTGAGGGTGTCAAAATGAAATTGGGGAGGATGTTCCAGGGATGGGATGAAGAAGTGGCAGTTCACACAAACTTTGGTGGCTCGTGCCCACTCTGGTCACCTGACCTCTGAGTCTTTATTCTATTCATCCGTCTTTGGCAACCCTGCCACAGGACGGGGTTTTTCCTCCCTCTTTTCCTCTCTCCATACCCTGCTGCCTTCCTGTGTCCAATGTGGCCTCTTGGGACACTTCAGTCAGGGTGGTGGTGGCTCTGGACAGCTGGGGGAGGCGGTGGCCTGCAGGCTGGAGAACTGGCTGCGTGGTATCTTGGATGAAATTGCCAGGGGACCGGGGGGTGCACTCATGCCCTGGCTGGCCTGATTTCTTGGCACTCCTAGGCATTGCCTGCTTGGGGACATGGAGAATAACCTCAAGGCGTGGGTGCAGGCGCTGGGCAAGAGGCTCACACCCCCACTTTGCCATGGAAGCAGGAGCAAGAAGGCAAGTGTCTGTTGCCCGCCCTCCTCCTCTTCCCTGCCTGGCTGAGCCAGCACTTTTTTCTTCTCTCCTTTATCTGCTCAGAAAGTACAGGGTGTTCTGTTTCTCCTGTGCATACAGATCAAGGAGCGGATGTTATTTCTTTCTTTCTTTCCCCAAGGCGAGAGAAGGACAGGGCAGGCACCGAGTACCATTTAAGTGATTCTCCTTCCTCAGTAAGGCAGTTTCTCATACATTAAAACAAAACAAAACAAAACCCAGAAGGGAAAGGAAACGATGACACAAACCAACAGAAAACAAGTTGCCCCTTAGTGCCCCCACTCCCCAGCAGGCATTTAGCACACAGTAGGTGTCCTGGCTATGTTCTCTCTCTCCCTTTCAGTTGGACCACAGGGTGTGCTGGCTCCATGGGATGATATCAGGGCCACAGGACGGACTCATTTCTCTGCCCTCTGTGGGCTGTGTAGGGGGCTCCTCTGGCTTCCTGGAGGCATTGGGGATTGACAGGCTTATCTGGGACAGGGCCTGAGGAGGGACAGGACCGTGGGATTAGCTGTGAGGGTCAGAATGCAGGGGACTCACGTGGCCCCTGCTTACTTGCGTGTCATTCCATGTGCGATGTCTGTTTGAGTTCAAAGTCTCTGAGACCAGGTGCAGGGAGCTGGGGGTTCTTTCTGTGCTGATCTTGGAGGCAGAGTGGCTGCCTGCATTCATTCCACGGTCCATTCCACAGCTTGTTCCAAAGACAGTCTGCTCATGATGTAGCTTCTGCACTTGACAAATTATTTTCATGCACGAGGCCCTTGAAAATGTTGACAGTCTTGTGACATCCATGGAGGGCCTTATTTGACGGTCACAAAGGAGCGGTGAGGACAAGCGGGCCATGCATGGCTCTGGGAGCAGGGAAGGCAGGTAGCTGGCTGGGACGGCCCTGCTGGCACCGAGCGCTGTTCCCCTATCCTGGCTTCCCAACGCTGGAGCTTATCTGGTCCCCTGGTTTTCAGAGGTGGTGCTCCAGGGAGCCTGGGGTGAGGGGGACCCCCAGTTTAATACCTGCTACACCCTGACCCCCATAGCAGCTTTTTAAGAAGGGGTTCCACCAGTAAGGCGTGAGAGCCACTGCAGCCATCCCTTTCCGTAGTGGATAGGAGACTGTGTGTGGGGTGGCCTGGGGCAGACCCGCCGGGCGGGTTGCGGCGCCACGTCAGTCCAGGGTGCCCAGGGTGGCGGCGTCCCCGTCGCAGCTGGCGCGGCCCCTCCGGAGCACGCCGCGTGTTTACCGACCTGACGCAGCGTCCCGGCCCGGCTGGCAGACATCCGGCGGCATCGCCGCTGACCCTCCCCGCCCGCCCCGTGCAGGCGGCCACATCCTCACCTCTAAATTTAGTTTGCAGGAAGGAGAACCTGGGGTAGGGTGGGGGAGGACTGGAGCCAGCCCTGATCCGTGTCCTCTCGGGAGGGAGGCAGGACCTAGCATCTCTGGGGCGAGGGAGGAGAGGGACGGGAGTCAGAGGACAGAGGCGGGGAGGAGGAAAGGGCCGGAGCCGCCCTGCTCCCGGCGTGGCCTCATCCCCAGCGAAAGCGCGACACCCGCTGTCTGGGAAGGGGAGCGGGAGCCCTTGCCTCCGAACTGGACGCTGCCCGGATGTGGCTCCGGGTCTCGGGCGCCACCTACCGGCCCTTTTGGGAACCGATTCTGCACGGAGTTGGCGGGCCTGGGTCTCAGGGGGACTTGGAGGGATTTTAGGGGCTGGAGGGTGGGTGGGTGGGAGGGGGGGTGGTGGAGGGAGGATTCCCGTCCAGGCCCAGGCATCGCGGGGGCAGGTGCAATGGGCGGGGGAGGCACAAAGAGCAGCTTCTCAGCCTAAGCGTATTTCGGAAAAAGCCTCCTTTGTTCACCCATGTCACTTAAGGGATGTTAAGGACGCTGCGGTTCCAAGTGGGATAGAAACCTCAGTGGTCAGACCCTGAAATGCATGGAGAAGAAAGTCAGTGTGGCAGCCTTTGACGGATTGATTGGAGGGCAGGAATGACTATCTTGTTAGTGAGGTCTATGTAGATACATACAGTGAATTACACATATCTCAACTGTGCAGCTCAGCGAATCTTCATACGTGCACTGGGTACCCACCCTTCAGATTAAGATATTTATTCCGTCTACCCCAGAAAGGCCCCTCCTGCCCCCTTCAGTCATCTCCCTGCCTTCTAACCTCTCTTCTGACCTCTGGCTTCATAGATTGGGTTTGCCTCTTCCTGAGCTTCGTGTGAATGAAGTCATACAGTCCGTGCCCTTGTCTCTGGCTTCTTTTGCTCAGTGCGTGATTGAGGTGCATCTGTGTGGTTGGGAGTGTCAGTACTTGGGTTCTGTCTACTGCTGAAGAATAGTCCGTGGTATGGATATGCTAGGTACAGCACCGCATATGTCTCTGTTCTCCTGCTGATAGACCCGTGGGGTGTTTTTATTTTCAGGCTGTTACGAATATAGGTGCTGTGCACACTCTTTAACTTGTGTCTTTGGTGGAATGTGCCCTCTTTCTGTTGGGTGTATTCTTAAGAGTGGGATTGCTATGTCATGGGAACAGTTATGCGCAGCTTTATTAGGTACGGGTGACAGTGCCCCTTGTTTGCTGTCCGGCAGCCACCTTCCGCCCACATTTGTTCCCTGTTAGATCCTGGATACTGTTAGATTCTGCAACTTTTGCCACTTAAACCCCAGCAAAGACAACTGGAATCTAAATTGCTTGAATCAGGGAAGGAACAGGGACAGCATCTGAGCTGAGTGGTTCCTCAGGGTGGCCCCCAGATATCTCCAAACCCTCCGGGTCATTCTGGGAAGAGAAAAGCAGCCTCTCCTAGCCCTGGGGCCAGATTTGGGGACCCCCTTGGCCTCCCAGCCATCAGCTCCCCTAGTCTGGCGTCTCTGAGCAAACTGGCTTAGTGTAACTGTCAATTTCATGTCTGGCCTCTGGTGCCATGGGTCCTCTTGGTCCACTGTTTCCTGGGCTCCTTGCTGCTTTGTGGTGGCTGAGGGACTGGGTGGCTGGGAAAACAACCTACCCGGAATAGCAGGCTTGTTGGATGCAGGCCTCGTGGCACTTTCTTGGGGGAGGGCGGGACTATGTCCTGCCCACCAAATTGCCACTTCGGTGAGGCTGTGAAAGACCAACAGAAAGCCAGAGACAAGAGAAGGGGCAAGGGAAAGAGAGAGAGAGTGCCAGGGAAAAGCCAGGCAAAGGAGGGAGAGCAGAGGGTCCAGGGTTGTGTGTGCAAGTATCCTGGGATCTGTGTTGAGTATCCTGAGGTTTGTGTGAATATCTTGGGGTCCATGCAAGTATCTTCGGGTCCAGGCAAGTATCCGGGGTCCATGCAAGTATCTTGGGGTCCAGGCAAGTGTCCTGGGGTCTGTGTGAGTATCCTGGGGGGTCTGTGTGAGTATCTTGGGGTCCAGGCAAGTATCCGGGGTCTGTGTGAGCCTCCTGGTATTGGCACCAGGTGGACCACAGCAGTTATGCCATGCTGAGCTGGTCCAGAATCAGCAGCCCCAAGCTCCAGTCTCTCCTGACTGTGGCCTTCTTGGTCATCTCCTCACTGGCTGCCTCTCATCTCCACTTTGGGGCCTGTGGTCAGGGAAGAAGCAGGGCCTAACAAGTTTGGGGGTGGGATTGAGAATTTCAGGGGCTTAAGATGGGCTCCCAGGTCTCCTGCCTGCTGGCGGGGACCCAAAATGCATCCCTCCCTTACTTTCTCCTTCCCTTCCCTTTCTTCCTTTTCTCCTCCCTTCCTGCCACCTTCCCTTATTTATTCTTCCATCCCTCCCTGCCCCTTTGGAGGTGGCTCTTCTTGTCCAGGTCCTCAGAGAGGGAGGGAGAGGACTCCAGGTCCCCCCACCCACAACAGAGGGCAGAGTGTGATGAAAGCCCTGAGTGTCCCTTGGGGCAGGTGGGAAGTGAAGGCAGAGCCACTAAGCTGTGACACCTCCTCCCCCTGCAGGTTCCTAGAAGGTGAGCGCGGACGGTATGCAAAGTTGTGAATCCAGTGGTGACAGTGCGGATGACCCTCTCAGTCGCGGCCTACGGAGAAGGGGACAGCCTCGTGTGGTGGTGATCGGCGCCGGCTTGGCTGGCCTGGCTGCAGCCAAAGCACTTCTTGAGCAGGGTTTCACGGATGTCACTGTGCTTGAGGCTTCCAGCCACATCGGAGGCCGTGTGCAGAGTGTGAAACTTGGTAAGTGCCACCCAGTCCAGCCCAGCCACCTCCCCAGGTCACCTTTAGTCTCCTAATTCCCGGCTCTGCCTGAAATCTCATTATTTTAACTTCTGGGATAAATGTTCCATCATGCATCCTGCCTGGGCATTTTCCAGAAGCTTCCTTCGCTCCTCGTGGCAGCCCTCTGAGGCGGGCATGGTAGGGCCCTGACTTTCACTTGTGGAGAATGCTGGCTTGCTTCTGACCTAGTGCTCACAGTGTTTAGGAGGGAGTGGACACCCAAGCTCTCTTGGTACTGAGTGGGCAAGTTTCTATTTCACAAGAAGTGAAATTCTTCTGCAAGGTCCTAGTAGTTGTTAACTTTTTGTGAATACTAATTGTGAATTAGTATAACATGACTGAGAGCTAGCCCTGGAGCAGTAGGATCCTGGGTTAGCAGAGATGAAAGGGGATTTTGGGCCTCCATGTGTGTGATGGGCAGGTCTTGGGATTATCTGGGAAGTGGATCTGTCTAGGTTGCAGAGCAATGAGGACCCTGGAGAAAGCAGCCAGGTAAGAGACTTGCCCTAGGGGTGGGCAGACTTTGCCAGGGATCTCAGAGAATGGGAAAATTGCCTGAAATCCCTAGGTCAGGGCTTCCCAACTGGCGGGGGAGGGGGTGGGGGGGGGATGGTTTCTGACCATTGAGGGGTTGGGTGGGTAGAAACCATGAAAATGACCCAGTGAGACCACACATGGCCTGGAATGTGTGGCTACATTGATCCTCTAGAGGAGTTTTTTTTTTTTTTTTTTTGAGACAGAGTCTCACTCTGTCACCCAGGCTGGAGTGCAGTGGCATGATCTTGGTTCACTGCAACCTCTGCTTCTGGGATTCAAGAGATTCTCCCGCCTCAGCCTCCGAAGTAGCTGGGATTACAGGTGTGTGCCACCATGTCTGGCTAATTTTTATATTTTTAGTAGAGACAAACGTTTCACCATGTTGGCCAGGCTGGTCTTGAACTCCTGACCTCAGGTGATCCACCTGCCTGGGCCTCTTGTAGAAACTTTGATCACCTTAAGTGTCTTCCCCTACAGCATTTCCTGCAAGGCATACCTAAAGTTGTCCCTTTTCCCCAGCACACACAAGAGTGTCTGCAGGGAAACAGACTCCACCTTCTCATGGGAGGAATGGCAAAGTCACGTTGCAAAGGGGTGTGTGTACAAAGATAGGAGGAATCATTGTGACTATCTTGGCAAAAAGTGTGCCACATATATCTTGAAGCAGGCCTGCAAAAACAAAACGAAACACCCCCCAAAATTTCTATTTTCCTTTCATTGTTTCGGCTTCCCTGGGAGCTAGGTAGGGATGGGGAGGAATGGGAGAAGGAGACAGTTTCTGCAGCATCAGAAGAAGAAACTGAGGCCCAGGCACAGAGGCAACTTGCCTCAGAGTATATGATGCCTTGGCTGGGGATGGGGTAGTAGACCTAGTTCCCAGGCCATCCCAACTTGGACCCACGAGATGTCCCCTGCCCCAGTCCGGCTCTCAGGGTTTTTTGTACTGTGTCAAAGGATGTAGAGGGCTTCACTTTCCCTGGAAATGTGCTTTAGATTGCTTTTTGGGGGAATCTTGCAAACTGGGATGTTTGGACTTCTCTCCTGCCCTATGCTGAATTTGGAGGGAGCCATTTTCTGTCTGGGAAATGCTTTAGATCTTGGAGCCACTGGGGATGTTGAAGAATTGAAAAAGGCCAGGTGGGGACCCTCAGGTACCCACAGTGCTTCTCCCCGGTGAGGAGGCACCAGTGAGGAAGTGGGGTCTGATATCTGGTGTTACCTGAGAAAAAGGTGGGACGGAAAAAGAAGAGCCTTCTAACTGGTCCAGTAAGGCCACTCTGGGACAAATCACAGAGTCATCCAAGGTGGCAGTTATCTTAGCTATAAGGTGGTTTTCAGTGGGAACTTTTCACTGAGGACCTTCGTTGGTTGCCAGCAGTGGAAGTTCAAGCTCTTTCCTGCCCTGTTGTAGGGTGGAAAGACCCTCTTGGAGGAAGGAGGGGGAAGCAGTGCTGGCCCTCTCTGGAGAAGTCCCTAAGCCTCTAAGGGCCTGCTGTTGTCACCCTCAGGACACGCCACCTTTGAGCTGGGAGCCACCTGGATCCATGGCTCCCATGGGAACCCTATCTATCATCTAGCAGAAGCCAACGGCCTCCTGGAAGAGACAACCGATGGGGAACGCAGCGTGGGCCGCATCAGCCTCTATTCCAAGAATGGCGTGGCCTGCTACCTTACCAACCACGGCCGCAGGATCCCCAAGGACGTGGTTGAGGAATTCAGCGATTTATACAACGAGGTAAGGTGTGAGCAGAGTAGCTGGGCGTAAGGGCATGGGGAGACCTGGGAGGTCTGTGATTCTGGTCGTGTCTCTGCACACTCCCTGGGCCTTGCATTTGGAAAACCAGGATAATGTGAGGGTAAAATGAAAATATTCAGTGGGATAGAACTGATTTTTATATATTGATTTGTTAGCTTGCTAAATTATTTTTAATTCTAATAATACATCTATTATGTTAATTGTATTAATTTATATTCTAATAATATTTTGGAATTTATGTATATAACTCTACACAAAAAATGAGAATTTTGTCTTTTTTTCCTTTCTAGTCATTAGACCAGCATTTATCCAATAGAACTTTCCACAGTGATGGTGATGTTTTAGACCTTCGCTCTGCAGTGTGGTAGTCACTAGCCACATTTGGCTCTTGAGCACTTGAAATGATGCAAGTAAAACCGAGGAACTGAATATTTAATTTTTTGTTGTTGTTGTTTGTTTTTGAGATGGAGTCTCGCTCTGTCGTCCAGGCTGGAGTGCAGTGGCGCGATCTCAGCTCACTGTAACCTCTACCTCTCTGGTTCAAGCGATTCTCCTGCCTCAGCCTCCTGAGTAGCTGGGATTACAGGCACGTGGCATGCCCAGCTAATTTTTGTATTTTTAGTAGAGATGGGGTTTCACCATGTTGTTCAGGTTGGTCTCGAACTCCTGACTTCATGATCGGCCTACCTTGGCCTCCCAAAGTGCTGGGATTATAGGCGTGAGCCACTGCACCCGGCCTAATTTCTTAATTTTAAATTGCTACAGGTGTCTAGTAGCTACTGTGTTGGATAGCACAGCTGTAGACAGTTTTATTTTTTTCTTGCCTTATTGCACTGGTTAGTATCTCAGTGCAGTGTTGGACAGAAGTGGCAATGGCACACATCCTTGTTTTATTCAGATTTTTAAAAAATTATTAATATTGTTAGTATTCTTTAGCTGTGTGAACTGCACCGAACAAGCAAAGTAATGTGTAGGCCCTGTCATCTGATAGCTTGTCATTTGTAGTGTAATGAATGATCCTTCACTCCAGGTCAGTAATTTGGCCAGCAAACACCTATTGTGCATTTTCTTTTCTTTCTTTCTTTCTTTCTTTTTTTTTTTTGAGACGGAGTTTCGCTCTTGTTGTCCAGGCTAGAGTACGATGGCACGATCTCAGCTCACCGCAACCTCCGCCTCCCAGGTTCAAGCGATTCTCCTGCCTCAGTCTCCTGAGTAGCTGGGATTACAGGCATGTACCACCATGCCCAGCTAATTTTGTATTTTTAGTAGAAATGGGGTTTTACCACGTTGGTCAGGCTGGTCTCGAACTCCTGACCTCAGGTGATCCGCCCACCTTGGTCTCCCAAAGTGCTGGGATTACAAGCGTGAGCCACCTCGCCCAGCCTATTGTGCATTTTCTAATCTCTTGGGCATGAGAAAGGAGACATGACCCTTGCTTTGGGGTGGTCCCTGCTCTATGGAGGACAGGCACACTTGGTGTCATGTGTGTGCACCAACAAGGTACGTTGTGTTGTGCATTCTCACTCATGTGCAAAGAGACTGAATTGTTAATGGGTCAAATAAGAACTAGTATTCTTCAAAACAGACCTTTCTTTTCTGCTGGAAATCAGCCCCAGCCTGATTCCCAGGTTATTGTGAGTGATTCAAACATGGATGCCTCTTGAAAATGACTTTCGGGGCCCGTGGTTTGTTCTTTTAAATGTCGTTAAAAGTAGATCATCATCAAATTCTGCTGGTGGGTTTGATTTTTGAAAGTCAAGAGAGTGCGTTGTGGATATGGAGTGGATATGGTGGATTATCTGGGTGGTGATGTTTTGAGTCAAAAGGATAAGGCGTAACCCTGATGTCAAGATTTCTTTGTGTGGCTTTTAACCAATCCTAGAGGCCATTCTGAGGAGGGGTGCTCTAAGCACGTGAAACCTTGCCTCAGTGTGGCTTCATAATAAGTATGCAGCCCCCAAAGATGATGACGTTGAAGAGCCACTCATCTGAATGTATTTTATTTATTAACAAATACATGAGTTTGTGCAATAGTATCATCTAGAGCTTAGTTTCTGGAGTAAGACTGCCTTGACCAAATACCAGTTCTACCATTTATTAGCTGTGGAATCTTGAGCAGGTTATTGAGCCTCTCTGAGCCTTACTTTCCTCTTCTGTAAAATGGGCATGGTGGTACTTACCTCATAGTATTATGAGGATTGAATGAGAACCAATGATAAGTGCTTAATGAGAATTGGGGTGAGTATTATTAGCTGTCACAGACCTGTCCGATTTTCCTTGGGTCACATTGGGAAGGTGTCGAATAACCCAGGAGAGGAGACTGTGCCATGTGATACACCCATGTTCGGTGAAGGCTGCCCTCGTTGGTGGCTGATGCAAAGAGTCATGTCGATGGACTAAATTCATTACTCCTCAGCTGGGCATTTTGGCCTCTAGTTAACATAAGCTAAGGACTGGCTACCAGGTTGCTTATCGCCCAAGGGAAAAACCCAGGGAGGAGGCAAATTGAAAGCCTGACCCTTGGCAGTGGTCCTGGGTGAAGAATTTGCTGAGGACTCCAGCTAAGGCTCACCACTCAGCATCTCCTGATTGCAGGGAGGCAAGATGAAACAATTTCCCTCACTTTCTTCTTTATAATTTAGTCTCCAGAGATAAGTTTAATTCATGTCTGTGTCTCAGGTGGAGGCCTTCCCCTTGAGTGAGATGGTGGTGGTGGCGGGTGGTGGACATCACTGTGCTTTGCCATCTTCCTTCACCCTGTGGCCCCAGGGCCTAGCCCAGGGCTGGGGGACAGGGCAGACACCATTCCCAGACATGTGTGCTGACCACACTCACTTTAGGAAGGGAAACAAACCATTCATCAGCTCAGCCACAGGGGCTCGACCAAGGAGCCTCCATTAGCTGGTGTCCTGGGAATGACAGCTGTGGGCATGTGATCCTGCCGCCTTCTTGCTCACGGCCCTCCAGCGATGCCAGGGCCTTGGATCAAGTCCAGAGTCCTTGGAATAACTCTCAGTCCTTTATGCCCTGGACCCTGCCTGCCCTTCCAAAGTCGGCTCTCAGATCCTCTCTCCTTGCTGCCCCCTCCAGCAAAACCAAACCCCTTCAGGATTCCTGACTGCTTCTCCATCTTTGAGGTTGCTGTTCCCTCTGCCTGAAATGCTTTTCTTCTCCCTTTCCTCTCCACCCTGGCTGTCTCTCAGCTGCCCAGGGTTGTCTGCGTTGACCTCACAGCCCCGGGTTCTTTCCTATCACGGCAGCCCAATCGTGGACTGTCTCCCCAGCTGGAGTGAGGGGAGGGGCAGGGACTGTTTCGCCCACATTACAAGCTGTGTCCTGCACAGAGCCCGGTAAATGTTGAGTAAATGTTGCTTCTGGGGATCCCTGGACTGGCTTACTTCCTTCAGGGAGCTCTGCCCAGTGCTTAGTGGGGACTGTATATGAGACAGGCACGAGGGTCGGGCGGGCAGTCAGACCCCTTTTCAAGTGACTGATCGTCGTTATCTGTTGATGAGGTGTGGGCTGGAGTTCTTGCTGAAACGTGCCCGTGAAATGCATCTCCCTTCCTTGGCACACTGGGGCCTCCTGAGACCCTGGCTTTTGTGTTCCTGTCTTCCCCACTGCGTCTCAGCTTCCTTACTCGTGGCTGAGGCCTGAAGCAAAGGGGGTGCTTTGTACGGAGCTGCACAGGCCCAGGGAGGTGTCTCCAGTCGTCAGGGGCCCTTCTGCTGGCCAGGCCACAGCTCCAGACTGCCCTCTTGGGAGCGGGCAAAGCAGACACACTTGGGCAGGGGTGGCAGGGAAAGTGCACGTATCGTTCTTGGAACAGGTAAATGTGTGCAAATGCCCATCCTCCAGTGGGAGGTGGAGCCCATGGAGGCCCATGCAGAGTCCATGAGGGGTGGCTTCTTTCCCACAGACTGTATGGGCACCAAATGTTTCACATTGTCCTAAGTGAGGGCCCAGCAAGAAAACCTCCGGGGCTTATCCCACCTCCCCGACAGGCCGGAGGCGAGGAGGTGGCTGCCCGGGGCCTTGGCTTTTGGTGCAGCATTGAGTGCAACATCGGATCCCTAAGGGACAGAGACCAGGGGCTCAGTGCATCCAGGGGACACCTGGGAACTGGTGGGTTTGGGTTGGGGGCCTTCTGTTTGAGATGGAGGTGTGATGAGGTGTTTTCAGTCTCATGGGGTCTCTCTGGCAGGTCTATAACTTGACCCAGGAGTTCTTCCGGCACGATAAACCAGTCAATGCTGAAAGTCAAAATAGCGTGGGGGTGTTCACCCGAGAGGAGGTGCGTAACCGCATCAGGAATGACCCTGACGACCCAGAGGCTACCAAGCGCCTGAAGCTCGCCATGATCCAGCAGTACCTGAAGGTATCTTGAGGAAGACGGATTCTGGGGGCGTCTGGGTCTGAGGAGGGCTACGCTGCTCCTACCCCTGCCCAACCCCGGCGGTCACCTGGCTTCTCCTTGGGTCTTCCCGCAGGTGGAGAGCTGTGAGAGCAGCTCACACAGCATGGACGAGGTGTCCCTGAGCGCCTTCGGGGAGTGGACCGAGATCCCCGGCGCTCACCACATCATCCCCTCGGGCTTCATGCGGGTTGTGGAGCTGCTGGCGGAGGGCATCCCTGCCCACGTCATCCAGCTAGGGAAACCTGTCCGCTGCATTCACTGGGACCAGGCCTCAGCCCGCCCCAGAGGCCCTGAGATTGAGCCCCGGGGTGAGGGCGACCACAATCACGACACTGGGGAGGGTGGCCAGGGTGGAGAGGAGCCCCGGGGGGGCAGGTGGGATGAGGATGAGCAGTGGTCGGTGGTGGTGGAGTGCGAGGACTGTGAGCTGATCCCGGCGGACCATGTGATTGTGACCGTGTCGCTAGGTGTGCTAAAGAGGCAGTACACCAGTTTCTTCCGGCCAGGCCTGCCCACAGAGAAGGTGGCTGCCATCCACCGCCTGGGCATTGGCACCACCGACAAGATCTTTCTGGAATTCGAGGAGCCCTTCTGGGGCCCTGAGTGCAACAGCCTACAGTTTGTGTGGGAGGACGAAGCAGAGAGCCACACCCTCACCTACCCACCTGAGCTCTGGTACCGCAAGATCTGCGGCTTTGATGTCCTCTACCCGCCTGAGCGCTACGGCCATGTGCTGAGCGGCTGGATCTGCGGGGAGGAGGCCCTCGTCATGGAGAAGTGTGATGACGAGGCAGTGGCCGAGATCTGCACGGAGATGCTGCGTCAGTTCACAGGTGCGCCACGTGCCCCACGACCCGCTTCCCCCACCCTGCTTCTTCCTCACCTGCCCTCCTCTGGTGGACCCATGGCAGCTCTCTCCTCCCCAGACCGTGAAGCTCGGATGCTGTGCCCCACGGGAGAGCCACTGCAGGGTGCCACATTCAGCCAAAGGCTCTTCAGTTGCTGACAGTTTAGAACTTGACACACTCAGAATTATGGGCGCTGTGTCTCTTCCCCCTTTCTAAAGGCTGATGGTAAAACACTCAGAGATCACCGCCCATTGTGCTCTGTTGCTAAGAGCTGGATTTGCCTTTTACTCTCTGAGTCTTTCAGCTCAACATTTTTCACCCACTATTCCAGGAGGACCTCACGAGAACCCCCGATATTAGGCGGGGAAACATGATTATGTGTCATGTGTTTTCAGATAGATAGGAAAAGTAAGGTGGAGCGTTTTGCCGGGGGTCACAGGAGGCGCTGAGTGGGTACACAGCTCGAGCCCCAGCCTCCCTCCTTCCTCTTCTATCCTCCGTGCCTACCCCTGGCAGTCTGGTCCTCCCGGAGCCCTGGAGGTGGGGTGGGGGGTTGTCCCTTTGGGGTCATCTTCCATATGCAGCCATTTCTTATCCTCCCTCCTCTTGGCTTTTCTGACTCTCCATCAGGGAACCCCAACATTCCAAAACCTCGGCGAATCTTGCGCTCGGCCTGGGGCAGCAACCCTTACTTCCGCGGCTCCTATTCATACACGCAGGTGGGCTCCAGCGGGGCGGATGTGGAGAAGCTGGCCAAGCCCCTGCCGTACACAGAGAGCTCAAAGACAGCGGTAAGCGGGGCGTTTGGGGTGAGGAGGGGAGTTGTGGGTGTATTTTGTATGTGTGTCCGGTCCAGGGTGAGGAGGGCTAGGGTAGTGTTCACTAAGGGGTGCTCAGGTGAGGCAGGGATGGAGTAGCTTCTGTAATGAGAGAGAACACAAGGAAAAAAGTGTGCACTTAATATCTGGAAGAAAAAATGGAATCAAATTGAAACTTAAAATGTTTTCTTGATGTTATGAAAACTGAGCTATTCCATGCTGTGCTGGCCAATACGGTAGCTATCAGCCACTTTCAATTTAAATTAATTTATTAAAAATTTAAATTAATACAGTATTTTTTTTTTCTTTTTTGAGACAGGGTCTTGCTCTGTCTACACTTCAGGCTGGGGTATAGTGGTGTGATCACAGCTCACTGCAGCCTTGACCTCCTGGGCTCAAGTGATCCTCCCACCTCAGCCTCCCAACTAGCTGGGACCACAGGCATGCCGGCACGCCACCATGTCCAGCTAATTTTTGTACTTTTTTTTTTTTTTTGGTAGAGATGGGGTTTCATCATACTGCTAGGCTGGTCTTGAACTCTTGGGCTCAAGCTGTCCTCCCGCCTCAACCTCCTGAAGTGCTAGGATTATAGGAATGAGCCACCACACTTGGCCAATACAGTAAAGTTTTTGTTCCTTGGTTGCACTAGTCACATTTCAAGTTCAACAGCCACATGTGGCTAGAGGTTACCATAGTAAAGTACATAGCGATAGGAATGTCCTATTGGACAGCACTGATTCAATGGAAATGTTTTCCCAATATATTTCAGAAAATAAAGTTTAGATTACTGATGCTCCACAATATGCCAACTGTACACTAAAAAAAAAAAATCTGAAATATATATTTATGCTCCCATAAAGTGGATTTTGAGTTTCCCCCATCAAGTAGACACACACAGTAAATGTTAAAACTCAACAGTTATATTTAAAACAATTATTTGGTATAATTGGTGAAGAAGAGTTCAGTCAACCAGCATCTACTATGCCTGCCCAACGGTGCTCAGATGGAGAGAGAAAAGGGCTGGTGTTTAAAGAGAGAGAGGTCCTCAGAAAGGCCCTTTCTGCTGCCACAGCCATCCTCCTAAAAAGCAAATCTTCTCTTTTCACTTGCATCAGTTAGGACTAGTGCATGTAGCAAAAAGCAAAGCAAAGCAAACACAACTGTGACTTAAACAAGGAAAATCAAAAGGAAATCTGGAGGCAGGCAGCAGGATCCCGTATCATTAGCACCTGGCTCTCATCTTCAAGACCATCTTGTGGTCCAAGAGGGCTGCAGAAGCTCCAGTTCTCACATCTGCATCTTAGGCTAGAAGGAAGAGGAAAGGCAGATGGCAAGAAGGGAACCCTTGGAGCTGAGTCAGCTGTGTCTCTAAGCAACAGTGCACTTTAATGCTTATTGGCCAGAACATAGACACATGACTGCACCTAGCTGCTACAGAGGCTGGGCAGTATCATTTTTATTCTGGATGGCAATGGACCCAGTTAAAAATCAGGACTTTGTTATTGAGGAGAAAGAGGAGAATGGTTGGATGTGGGAGTGGTCCCAGCTACTTGGGAGGCTGAGGTGGGAGGATCACTTGAGCCCAGGAGGTCAAGGCTGACACAGTATACAACACCCCTTTCAGTGTAACAGCCTCTGTGGGCTCCTTGGTGGTGGGATTACAGCCTCACTACTCAGGGTAGGTAGATCAGTACCAGCCTCACCTGGGAGCTAGTTAGAAATGCAGATTCTCAGCCTGGCCAACATGGCGAAACCCTGTCTCTACTAAAAATACAAAATTAGCCAGGCATGGTGGTGCACACCTGTAGTTCTAGCTACTTGGGAGGCTGAGGCATGAGAATTGCTTGAAGCTGGGAGGCGGAGGTTGCAGTGAGTTGAGATCATGCCATTGCACTCCAGCCTGGGTGACAGAGCGAGACCCTGTCTCAAAACAAAAACCAAAAAACAACAACCCCTGGCGCCCTAAACACACACACACACAAATAAATAAATAAATAAAAAGAAATGCAGATTCTCAGCCTGGCCAACATGGCGAAACCCTGTCTCTACTAAAAATACAAAATTAGCCAGGCATGGTGGTGCACACCTGTAGTTCTAGCTACTTGGGAGGCTGAGGCATGAGAATTGCTTGAAGCTGGGAGGCGGAGGTTGCAGTGAGTTGAGATCATGCCATTGCACTCCAGCCTGGGTGACAGAGCGAGACCCTGTCTCAAAACAAAAACCAAAAAACAACAACCCCTGGCGCCCTAAACACACACACACACAAATAAATAAATAAATAAAAAGAAATGCAGACTCTCAGCCCACCCCAGACCTGCTGGATTAAAAACTGCATTCTGGCCAGGGATGCAGGCTCCTGCCCATAATCCCAGCACTATGGGAGGCCGAAGTGGGAGGATGGCTTGAGCTCAGGAGTTCAAGACCAGCCTGGGCAACAAAGTAAGACCTCCATCTCAACAAAAAATTTAAAAAAAAATTAGCCAGGTGTGGTGGTGTGTGCCTGTAGTCCCAACTACTTAGGAGGCTTAGATGGGAGGATTGCTTGAGCCCAGGAAGTTGAGGCTGCAGTGGAGCTGTGATCATGTTACTGCACTCCAACTGGGGCAATAGAGTGAGACACTGTCTCAAAAATAATAAATAAAAACTGCATTTTATCAGGATCCACAGCTGGTGCCTTGCACCTTGAATTTGAGAGGAACTAGGATAAAGTCCAAATGCAAACTTGGGGTGCAAGAACTTGTACCTTGCCTAGACCTCACCTAGACAGCCTGCTTTCTCAAGGCCGAGCCCTGGCTGTACCAAAATTCTCACTGTCCCCCGAGCAAGGCCTGCTTTGGTACATTTTTGCCCCCACCTTTCCCTCTGTCTGAAATGTCCTTTGCCTGTCCGTTCACTCAGCATCTTCCGAGAACCAGTTCAAAGGTCCTGTCCTCTGGGAAGCTTTGTGGGATCCCCTGACACTGGGCCTCTTTTCTGGGCTTTCGGCGCCTTGTGCAAACACCCATTCCATCACATATGACGCTGTTTAGTAATTGGGTTTCATGTCTGGCTTCCTCACCAGCATGGAAGCTCCACAAAGCAGCAGCCTGGTCACCTTTTCTCTTCCAAGTGCCCAGAACAGCCCCTGGATGCTAACAGGGGCGCCGTAAAGGTTTGTCAAATTACCACCGACTTTATTGAGTGCTTTGTTCTTCCAGGTTCTAAGTGCTTTAGATACATGATTTCCCTTAATCCTTACAACCACCCTCCGAAGTAGGTGGTATAAACCCATTTGGAAGATGAGAAAAGCAAGGCTTAGGGAGGTTAAACCACCTGCCTCAAGTTGACAAGTAAGAGGCACAAAGAGCCTTTGAGACCACAGAGCCGGGACTCCTAATGGCCTCAAGACAGAAAGAGCCAAGGGAAGAAGCAGGGGAAAGTGGCCAGATAGGATGGGCAGCTCTTCATCCTGTGGAAGCAGCAGCACCTGCGTCTCAGAGCCTCTCTAATTTGTCATTGGGATGGGAGGTTCTGGTGGAGAGGGGTGGCCTTGTGGCCTTCTGGCCTTTGCTGCTCCTCCACCCTGACCTCCCCATCCCCGCCCCGCAGCCCATGCAGGTGCTGTTTTCCGGTGAGGCCACCCACCGCAAGTACTATTCCACCACCCACGGTGCTCTGCTGTCCGGCCAGCGTGAGGCTGCCCGCCTCATTGAGATGTACCGAGACCTCTTCCAGCAGGGGACCTGAGGGCTGTCCTCGCTGCTGAGAAGAGCCACTAACTCGTGACCTCCAGCCTGCCCCTTGCTGCCGTGTGCTCCTGCCTTCCTGATCCTCTGTAGAAAGGATTTTTATCTTCTGTAGAGCTAGCCGCCCTGACTGCCTTCAGACCTGGCCCTGTAGCTTTTCTTTTTCTCCAGGCTGGGCCGTGAGCAGGTGGGCCGTTGAGTTACCTCTGTGCTGGATCCCGTGCCCCCACTTGCCTACCCTCTGTCCTGCCTTGTTATTGTAAGTGCCTTCAATACTTTGCATTTTGGGATAATAAAAAAGGCTCCCTCCCCTGCCCCTCAGCTTCTCTCTGGTTTTCTCAGCCTCTGTGTATGTGTGTGTGTTTATTTCTGTCACACCGCCTTTGAGTGAGAGGGAGAAGGTTGGGGAGCCCTGGCCTGGCTGTGTCCCCAGAGGGAAGGTGCTGCTTTTACTGGAAGGGATGTCCCCTCCCCCCATCTGTTGGGGTGTTTACCTTCCTGCCAGTAAGGCCCCTCAGGAATACGGGCCTCTCAGTGTACACCTGCTCCTTCAGGTCTGGCCTGAGTCTGCTTGCTGGCCCTTTTTTTTGCTGGACTTCTCTGAGTTTAACTGAGTGACACACTGCCTGGAGTGAAGGAGTTCTGTGGGGGGGACCCCCAGTGGTGGTGGCTCCATGCCAAGCCTAGGTATGTTCATTGTTTTTTTTTTTTTTTTTTTTTTTTTTTGAGACGGAGTCTCGCTCTGTCGCCCAGGCTGGAGTGCAATGGCGCAATCTCGGCTCACTGCAACCTCTGCCTCCTGGGTTCAAGCAGTTCTCTGCCTCAGCCTCCTGAGTAGCTGGGATTACAGGCGCCCGCCACCACGCCTGGATAATTTTTGTATTTTTAGTATTTTTGTAGTTTCACCATCTTGGCCAGGCTGGTCTTGAACTCCTGACCTCAGGTGATCTACCCGCCTTGGCCTCCCAAAGTGCTGGGATTACAGGGGTGAGCCACCGCACCTGGCTTGTTCATTGTTAATTAGCGTCACCTGTCCACTGGGCTGTGGGTCTGGCCCCTGGGGTGGCCTTCTTTTGAACCTCTGGGCAGATGGTCATTCTGGGCTTTATTTTTTGACAGGGGGAATATCCTAAGGCCTGCCATTTATTGGGGAATAGATTTTTCTTCTCGTCAGCTGGGTTCAGTGCTCCCAACACTTTGGGAGGCTAAGGTGGCAGGATCACTTGAGCCCAGGAGTCTGAGGCTGCAGTGAGCCATGATTGCACCACTGCACTCCAGCTTGGGTGACAGAGTGAGACCCTGTCTCAGAAAAATAAAAGAAGGTGTTATTTGTAATCCTTTACATGTAAGCTGTCAAGCTTCTCAGTATTAAGGAATAATTCACACACCAAATATAAAGCAATCAATACTTTCCTTTACATACTAGGCATCTAGAAAAGGGTCCTAGGCTGGACATGGTGGCTTATGCCTGTAATCCCACCAATTTGGGAGGCTGAGGCAGGAGGATTGCTTGAGCCTGGGAACTTGAAACCAGCCTGGGCAACACAGTGAGACCCCATCTCTACAGATGTCTTTTAAAAAAGAAAAACTTCTTTTTCTTCTCTTTTTGCTGAGTAAAAAGACACATCTACCCCCTTATATATACTCACCCACATATATAGGTACACATACCTACATATACTCACCACTACACCTTACACATAACCCACATGACATATACAGGTACACACACCTACATACACTCACCTCTCTACCCTACACATATACCTACCTACATACACACACACACAGAACCTTAAAGAACAGTCATTTTGTTACTCCACATTTCTAGTGATGAAATTTGAATTCAGATCCACATGGCTCTGTCCATGTGGTTTAAGCCCAAAAGCTATATAAGAATACACTAAAATGTCCCCATTCACACTGTCCCCAGTCATCTTAAAGAACAGTTAGTCATTTTGTTATCCTAGATTTCTAGTGATGAAATTTGAATTCTACAGAGTTGAAGGGTGGGGTGATGGGGAGAAGTTATGAAGAGCTTAGGTCAGGTCCCCTTCATGGACATTTAGGGCCCTGCCCTTGACAGGACATGACAGCCCCTTCCTCCTCCCAGGTGATTGATTGATTGATTGAAATAGCATCTCACTCTGTTGCCCAGGCTGGAGACAGCGGTGCGATCATGGCTCACTGCAGCCTCAGACTCCTGGGCTTAAATGATCCTCCTTACTCAGGAGTGGCTGGGACTACAGGCATGTGCCACCATGCCTGGCTAATTTTTATTTTTATTTTTTTGTAGAGAGAGTGTCTCATTATATTGCCCAGGCTGGTAGGTTGTGATGGAGATGTCTAACACACAGACACACGTACACACATGCTTACCTGCATCCACTTACGCACACACACCTACATGCACAAACCTCACAGACATTTTGCTTTGCCAGGGTTGATCTGCCAGAAATCTTCATGGAGCTTATATCAAGGGATTCATACCCACCTGCTGGCATAACTGAAAAATGTCTAAATATATATATGAATTTTTTTTTTTTTTGAGACGGAGTTTCACTCAGTTGCTTAGGCTGGAGTGCAGTGGCATGATCCCGGCTCACTGCAACCTCCACCTCCCAGGCTCAAGCGATTCTCCTGCCTCAGCTTCCCGAGTAGCTGGGATTAAGGCACGAACCACCATGCCCAGCTAATTTTTCTATTTTAAATAGAGTTGGGGTTTTGCTATATTGGCCAGACTGGTCTCAAACTCCTGACCTCAGGTGATCCACCCGCCTCGGACTCCCAAGGTGTTGGGATTACAGGCGTAGCCACTATGCCCAGCCTATATATGAAAAATTGTCTGAATAGATGATCTGTTCATGTAGTTTAAGCCCAAAAGCTGTCCACGTGGATACAATACACTGAAATGTTCCCTCTCACAGTGTCCCCAGTCACTGTTGCCTCTCCCACAGCCCTAGGGGTATCCATTCCTAGATGTAAGTCAATATAAAAACACTCTTCTCCCTCCTTTTTATACAAAAGCACCAAAGTATTCATCTTGTCCTGATTTTGCTTGTTTTAGTTAACAATATGTCCTGTAGGCTGGGCGCGGTGGCTCACACCTGTAGTCCCAGCACCTTGAGAGGCCAAGGCGGGTGGATCACCTGAGGTCAGGAGTTCAAGACAAGCCTGGCCAACATGGTGAAACCCTGTCTCTACTAAAAGTACAAAAAATAAGCCGGGTGTGGTGATGCATACCTGTAATCCCAGCTACTCGGGAGGCTGAGGCAGGAGAATTGCTTGAACCCAGGAGGTGGAGGTTGCAGCGAGCCGAGATCGCGCCATTGAACTCCAGCCTGGGCAACAAGAGTGAAACTCTGTCTCAAAAACAAACAGAAAAACAAATAAAAAATCAAAAAAACCCACAATATGTCTTGGACATCTTTCTGTAATGGTACATAAGCAGACAATGTAAATTTGGACCTTACTTTGGTCAAAGCATGTCTGTCTCCTCCCTGGCCCAGGGTCACTTTATGGAAGCCACCTTCTATTACCTGTTACCTTCCATGACTCATAGTCTGCTGTCTGCTTCTGACTCCTCAGTTGTTGGATTTCCCCATCCACTGCAGTGGGATGGAGACAAGCAGCCCCATCACATAAGTATCGGGGAAGAAAGTGATAAATAGGTTCTCAGTGTATAGGCAGAGGAATTTTAAAGGACTCCATGGTGGGGTGAAAGGTCTGGAAATGTTTACTTGGTGACTGCACTTCAGGGAGCTTCATGGGTGGGTAAGAGGGAGGGAGAGAATATTCACTTAGTGCCAATTGCCTGGCACTATGCCATGTGAATGTGATACTGATTTGACAGTGATGCCAACTCAGGCTTTATTTATTCCTGTGGGCAAGTGAAACCTCAGAGAAGTTAAGTAACTTGCCCAGGGTTGCTCAGAGGTGCCGAGACATGAGCTGAAGTCTGTCTGACTGCGTGGTGTAGGCTCGTTCTATTGTATGATGAAAAGAAGAGGCTGGTGCCACCAAAAAAGCTTAAGGCCATTGCTGGAGAGAGTGGGTGTGGTACGACCACACTGGGGGACTGTGGCGGAGTCAGCTAAAACTGGCCATGTGCTTGCCAGCGTTCCCACCCCTGGGTATACACCCAAGAGAAAGGCGTGCAGGTGCTCACCAAACATATATACCAATGTGTCCACAGTAACATGGACCCTAACAGCTAAAAAACTGGAAGCTGCCCAGATGTCCATCAACAGTAGAATGAATTCCAGTGCACTCACACAATGGAATACTATATAGCAATAAATAAAAGGAATGGATATTTGCAACAACATGGATTAACCTCAAAAATGTTATGTTGGCAGGGTATGATGGCTCATGTACCCCCAGCACTTTGAGAGGCCAAGGCAGGTGGATTGCTTGAGCTCAGGAGTTCAAGACCAGCCTGGGCAACAAGGCGAAACCCCGTCTCCACAAAAAATACAGAAATTAGCTGGGCATGGTGGTGCGTGCCTATAGTCTCAGCTACTGGGGAGGCTGAGGTGGGAGAAATGCTTGAACCCAGAAGGTTGAGTCCGCAGTGAGCTGTGATCATGCCACTGCACTCCAGCCTGAGCAACAGAGCAAGATTCCATCTCAAAACAGCAACAGCAACAACAACAACACAACAAAAACCCTCAAAACATTATGTTGAGTTAAAGAAGCCGGACAAAAGGCTATGTACTATATGATTTCTTTTATGTAACGTTCAAGAACTTGCAAAACTAATCTACTGTGTTGGAAATGAGGGGCTGGGGGTGGCGGCTGGGCAGGAGTGGGATGGGGGCACTTCCTGGGGTAACGGAAGTGTTCCACATCTTGATCTGGGTGGCGGTTGCATGGGCATACACGTTGGTAAAAATGCATCAAGTTATACATGGAAGAAAGTTTCAAGAGTCTGAGAATGCCTCCCTCCATTCTCCCATTCCAAAACATGGTCATATTGGCCCAGCTAATTTCCTCCTTGCAGCAGAGATGACACATCTGAGAGCAGATAAAGGGAGGAGGGGCCCTCTTAGGCCCCACTGGCTGCCTGGTGATAAGCAGTGACCTCAAATTAATATAGGATGTCACTGTTTACCAGCTCCATTGCCTGTATCCCCTTATCCTCTCTGCATCTGCAACCACGAAAGAGGGGTTGGGATTGTTCCACAGCAGAGGAAATGGAGGTTCTCGGAAGGACCTCGGGGAGGCCATGCAAGGCTACTCGGCTTGGAGAGGACATGACCTCGTGGGGAAGGGAGCAACCCGGGGAGGAAGCCGAGGGGGAGCCTTTGGACACACAGGCAGGGACAGGCGCCAGAGGGGGCACCTCCTGCAGTGTGCTGCCTCCACATCAATAATTGCATAATGTGGATACCATTTATGATTGACAGTTCCAAAAACCAAACTCACTCACTACAGATGAGCAAGGAAGAGCAAGAGCCATTCAGAAGTGAGGAGGTATGACGTACAAGGAACACAGGATATGTTTCATGCTGTGATGAAGTTTCACAATAGACTTGGCATAGATTGAAACCCAAAGGGCTCTATCAGAAGTGGCAAATGTGGCACGCTCAGGCCAACACCCATGCCAATGATTCCTATAAAATTCCCATTGCCTGGTAGAAGTTCACAGGAGAGGAAAGTTCTTTCCTGCACCAGGTTCTATGGAGAATTGGTTGCATGGTTTCTCGTGCTGTGGGCATCAGGGACTTCAGGTGAAGGTATTTAGCTGTGGCTTTGTGCAAACCTCAGAACTGTGTCCTCCAAGGGCCTGGGGTATTTGGCAGGCGCTGTCTCTTGCTGCCTTTGCTGCTGTATGACAGGTGAGTAATATGTTATATCCTATTTCTTGGGAGCTGCCTGGAGTGTCTGCCCCTCCTGCAAACAAATGTAGGAGTGAAGCACCTCTAGTTTGAGTCACCTTAACTTACTAGGTCCTGTTGGGGGTGAGCTCAAGGGTAACTCCAAGGTGCAGAGTGAGTTAGGCTGCTGGTTCAGTTCTTGAGAATTGCCTGTCTAATTAGTGGTCTGCCAAACTTAATGGTAGAGTTACAGAAGGCTGTATTCTTTATAATGACTGGCTGGGCTGTTTGTTGAGACTCCTTATTTGTGTAGGACAATCAAGCCATCAACACGCAGGCAGAGTTGTTGCTCTACTAAGGTGGCAGCCAGGACATCTAATCTTGTGTTATGTATTTAATATTAAAAAAGGGGGTCGTTCACTGCCCTGTTTCATACTGTTCAGCTTGAGACTGGTAGGTACAAAAGTCTTCTCACTTCCCATGATTCTAGCGGTGATTGTTTAACACCGATTTTGCCAGAACGTTCAAAGCCTGGATCTCTCTCAGAGAATGCAAAGTGTTAGGCACATTTTATTTCTGCAAACTCTGTGTTTGTGCAATTTCAATGCGTTGGATTGGGTATTCCCTCTCCATTTCACTGTAGTCCCAGCTACTCCCTTTTGTCTTAGATCTGCTACCATCCCACTCCCATACATGGGGCACATGGGGTTACACAGCTGTCTTTCATCCCCAGTTCAAGGTCATGTGGCCACTTTATTATGCCTTGAAGCTCTTTCTTCTCTTCTATGAGCTACTTGGGTGTGCTTTCTGTTACTTGAGCCATTGGTTCCTCCTCTTTTGCTCAAATTAGTTTGGGTTAGGCTTCTGTCACTTCTGATCAGTTCAAACTAATTAAAATTGGTTCCAGGACTGGAGTTTTACATTTGGTCTGTCATTTCACTGGGTCTCTTTCTAATACCCTCAACTCTCTTACCCCCTGTTTTGTTAAAGCCAATTGACACAATTCCAATCAGCATTCAGTCTACAGCTACGGCTGGGCCACCATCAGTTGCTGCTGGAAAAAAACAGAGCCACACCTGCTGGCCGAAGCAAAGCAAATAACAACACTGCCTGCAGAATCTTTCCAGGGACTTAACATATTTAAAGCAGAAATTCTGCTTCTTCCTAAATCTAATCTACCCTTGGTCTTCCACATTTGAGTAAGTGGTACCACCATTTGGCCCAGGGCAAACACCTGGGCCATCATCAACTCCTTTTTCTTTCATATTCCACATCTGATCATCAGATTTGCAATCAGCAAATCTTGTTGGCTCTCCCTACAAAACACATCCTGAGTCTGATGACTTTGAGCCTCCTTCACCGCTCCTCACATCTCTGCTGTGTATGGCTGCAACAGCCTCCTAAGTGGGGTTCCTTTTTCCACGACTGTCCCTTTTAGCCTGTCCTCTACACAGCAGCAGCATGATCCTTTCAAAATATAAATCCAGCCACGCCACTTCCCTGGTTCTTAGTAACAACCATCATGCTAACGATCAAAGGTGATTTCCAACATCCTATGTGATCTGTCTCCCTGGGTCGCACCTCCTCTCCACCCTCTCCTTCCCTTTACCCTGGCTGTCCTCCTTAACTGAAATGCCCCCGTACCCCAGATATTTGCAAGGCTCTTTGCTGCTGCCTTCAGATCTCTACTCAGATGTCACTTCTTTGGGAAGACTTCCTGAGCAAAAGACTTCCTTGAGCACCTTGTTTCCACAGCCTCCCGCACTCTCTGCTCTCTCATCCTGCCTGTTTCTTCATAGTCCTTCTCTTTCCCCGATGTTTTTGGTTTTGATGTTTATGTGTTTATTTATTTTCCCTCAACCCCGAATGTAAGTTCTATGTTCACTTCTGCACGTCCAATGAGTCCAAAATAGTGCCTAGCATAATAGGTTATCAATAAATATTTGCAGAATGAATAAGCAAGGGATTGAAGAAGCCAAGATAAATGGTGGAAATCCGGAGGACACCCCTCTCCACCATCATTTGTCAATAGGCAATTTGGTCTCTTGCTTCATAGACAAAATAGAAGCCACCTGGAGGCAACTTCCTCACCCATCGACAAGCTCACCAGCCTTCATGCCTGTCCTTTGGAGCTTCCCTGCAGACAGTGGCAGGTAAGGCTTCTGCCTCTCCTAGGCTGACCCTCCACCTGTGCTTCCCATGCCTCAAGTGCAGGGACGTCGCCTCGTCCTTTCCGTCCCCTATCATTCTACTTCATCCTTTCTACCCACATTTCACTATGCTCATGTCTTTCCCATCAGCCACCTTCCTCGGGAACCACCTTCCTGGGCCTCTCCTTCAGTCAAGCTGCACAGCAGCATTTTCTACACTTGCTCTGGCGGCATCCTCACTGTCATGCACTAGCGGTTGTTGGTGAGGTTCTTCAGGCTGCAGATGGAGACATGGGAAGGGCTGGACTGGCTCCCCTTCTCACTGTGGCTGGGCAGGGTAGGGGGTACCCCGGCTTCCAGGATCTCTGGAAGCAAGGACAACCTCAAGGGCTGATCCACATCCTCTGGTGCCATCTGCCGCCCAGATGGGGACACAGCCCTCTTGCTGCACCGAGAAAATGTGTGTCCTGGATTCTCCGTGAGCTTTTCTGAATTAAAACAAACAACATAAAATCATGGGAGTGCCTTTAATTACTGTTGAATAAGTGAATAAAATAAGATTATAATATTCTACAGTATCATTTATTTTTCATTCTTAACATTATAAAGAGGGCTTGTTGGCTGGGCGCGGTGGCTCACGCCTGTAATCCCAGCCCTTTGGGAGGCTGAGGCGGGCAGATCACCTGAGGAGTTCGAGGCCAGCCTAACCAAGATGGGGAAACCCTCGTCTCTACTAAAAATACAAAATTAGCCGGGCATGGTGGCGCATGCCTGTAATCCCAGCTACTCGGGAGGCAGAGGCAGGAGAATCACTCGAACCCGGGAGGTGGAGGTTGCAGTGAGCCGAGATTGTGCCATTGCACTCCAGCCTGGGCAAAAAGAGCGAAACTCTGCCTCAAAAAAAAAAAAAAAAAAAAAAAAAAAAAAAAAAAAAAAAAGAGGGCTGGTGGCCCCCGAGATGAGATATTTACTTTTGTTCAATTGTTCATTCTTTTGTTCATCTATCAGACTTTTAATGATTTCCTTTTGTATGCCAGGCTACGTGCTTAAAAAAAGAAAAGCTTCACTATGCTTTAAGACACAAGTTCAGTAAATAAATAAGAAATGTGTGCTTAGTTTGTTCCCTAAGGAAAGCTGGACTTACGGGTTGTATTTGTAATAGTTGTGTGTGTGGATTAAGTAATGTGGGTGTGAGGAATAAGTCACAGGTGTGGATATATCTTATGTGTCCTGTTAAATCTGGCTTCCTAATGGGAACAAAATAAGGTCTTATTTAAAAAATTAGTAAACATATTTATTGGAAGTATAATTGTGTACAATAATACACTGATCACGAGGCTGGGTGTGGTGGTTCATGCCTGTAATCCCAGCACTTTGGGAGGTGGAGGCGAGTGGATCACCTGAGGTCAGGAGTTTGAGAACAGACTGACCCATGGTAAAACCCCATCTCTACTAAATAGAAAAATAATTAGCCAGGCACGGTGGCGCATGCCTGTAATCCCAGCTACTTGGGAGGCTGAGGCAGGAGAATGGATTGAATCCGAGAGGCAGAGGTTGCGGTGAGCCGAGGTTGTGCCATTCCGTGTCAAAAATAAATAATAAATAAATAAAAATACATGGATCACGAGTGTACAGCTTTATAAATTTTGAACCTACCTATGTAACTGGCACCCAGATCAGGAAACAGAAGTATCCCTTTGTTCCTCCTGCCACAGGCCCTCTCCTCCCAAGGGCTACCATTATGTTGACTTCTAATGCTTTAGTTTAACTTGTGCCCATTTTTGTACTTCATGTAAACATGACCCATTTGGTTTCTTTATCTTACCTGGTTTCTTTATTTGGTTTCTTTAGCTTGTGTCTGTGAGGTCCATCCATGTTGTTTCATGTAGCAAGCATTTGTTCACGCTTACTGCTTGATCATATTCCATTGTGTGATATGCCATGATTTGTGTATCGTTTCTCCTGGTGATGGACACTGGAATTGTTTCAAGTTTTTGGCTATTAAAAGCAGTGTAGCTAGCTGAGTGCGGTGGCTCATGCCTGTAATCCCAGCACTTTGGGAGGCTGAGGTGGGCCGATCACGAGGTCAGGAGTTCAAGACCAGCCTGGCCAATATGGTGAAACCCTGTCTCTACTAAAAATACAGAAATTAGCTGGGTGTGGTGGCATGTGCTTGTAGTCCCAGCTACTCAGGAGGCTGAGGCAGAGTAATTGCTTGAACCCTGGAGGCGGAGATCGCAGTAAGCAGAGATCACGCCACTGCACTCCAGTCTGCGCGACAGAGGGAGACTCTGTCTAAAAAAACAAAAAACAAAACAAAACAAAAAACAGTGCAGCTACCAACATTCTAGTATTAGTCTTCTGGTGAATATACGTATATGTGTATATATATGTGCATTTCTTTTTTTTTTTTTCTTTTCTTTTTTGAGATGGAGTCTTGCTCTGTCGCCCAGGCTGGACTGCAGTGGTGCAATCTTGGCTCACTGCAACCTCTGCCTCCCGGGTTCAAGCAATTCTCCTGCCACAGCCTCCCGAGCAGCTGGGATAATGGGTGCCCACCACCATGCCCAGCTAATTTTTGTATTTTTAGTAGAGACTGGGTTTCACCATGATGGCCAGGCTAGTCTCGAACTCCTGACCTCAAGTGATATGCCTGCCTCGGCCTCTCAAAGTGCTGGGATTACAGGCGTGAGCCACCGTGCCCGGCCTATATATGCATTTCTATTGGATCTATACCTAGGAGAAGAACGGACGGGTCACAGAGTAGGAGTGGTTTAGCTTTGGGAGTTCAAGGTATAATGGCTCCAAGCTCCCACATTCCACACTAGCAGGAAGTGTAGATTTCTCCCTGGTTCTCCTCCAAGGCTATTGACACTGAGTCATTATGCATCTTAGTTCTCTTCTCCCTGAGAAAATTCACCTGAGCCTCCTTCTAGTTAATCTCACCACAGCTGGCCTCTGGGGGTTCTGCAGCCCTCATTTCTATCAAAGCATCTTTGGAAGGTTCTTGGGGCCACCACAGATACCAGGCAGCCAGCACAAGTCTCAGTTGCCAAGGCTCAGTGAGCAGAGGCCCTGGGCTATTCCAGGGCTGGCTGCCAGGCCCTGTCCATTCCCAGTTGGGTTAAGTTGACTTTCCGTCCTCCAGTCTGGTCCTCCTTGCTTTTTGTCTACACTGTTGTTTTTCCAAGTGTGGTCCCCTGAACAGCAGCATCAGCATCTCCCGGGAACTCAGTAGAAATGCAGAATATCAGACTCCTCTTCTGACCTGAATCAGAATCTGCATTTTAACAAGGTCTCCAGGTGATTTGTGTGCACATTTGGGTCGATCTGTGCTAACTATAATACCGCACTCATAGTGAGGCTCAGCTGTGCCTCATGCTTTTCACACAGCAGGGGTTAATAATCTCCTTACATCCCTCCCTCCCTCATGCCCCTTGTCATACATTTCTAGAGCTCACCTCCCAGGGAGAGTTTGCCCATCTTTAAGTTATTTTGCAGGCAGGTGTTAGGGCTTCCCCACGGCCTGTGAGTGTTCCAGTGCTGCGGTGGCCTTCCATTTCTTTTGCCTGTCTAGAGCCTTGCTCTTCTAAGTGTGTTCAGTGGATCAGCAGCATTGGCCTCACCTGGGAGCCTTTTAGAGCATCAGAATCCCAGGCTCCATCCTCAGACCTGCCGGATCATAAAGCAGGGCAGGTGAGCTCCCAAACTGGGGCTTAGCTGCCCTGCATTATGAGTTTTTGGCTTTGCCCAGGAAAGAATTCAAGGGTGAGCTGGTGGTGTTAGACAGCGACTTTTACTGAAGTGGCAGTGCACAGCAGTAGCAAAGGCACAGTTCCTTGTGGGGCAGGGCTACCCCACAGGCAGTGTGCCCAGAGGAGCAGCTCAGAGGCAGTTCTGCAGTCATTTTTTTTTTTTTTTTTGAGACGGAATCTTGCTCTGTCGCCCAGGCTGGAGTGCAATGGCACAATCTCGGCTCACTGCAAGCTCCGCCTACCGGGTCACGCCATTCTCCTGCCTCAGCCTCCCGAGTCGCTGGGACTACAGGCGCCCACCACCACGCCCGGCTAATTTTTTGTATTTTCAGTAGAGACGGGGTTTCAACATGTTAGCCAGGATGGTCTCGATCTCCTGACCTCGTGATCCGCCCGCCTCGGCCTCCCAAAGTGCTGGGATTACAAGCGTGAGCCACCGCGCCCAGCCTGCAGTCATATTTATACCTACTTTTAACTACATGCAAATTAAGGGGGTGGATTTTGCAGACATTTTTAGGAAAAAGGTGATAACTTCTGGATCATTGGGTGGTTGCCATGGAAAGGGGTGGTAACTTTCAGGTGTTGCCATGGCAATGGTAAACTGACATGGCACACTGATGGACATGTCTTACGGAGGGATGCTTTTGTCTCTTCCTGTTTCAGCTAGTTCTCAATTTGGTGTGGTGTCCTAGCCCCACCTGTGGAGTCAAGTCCCACCTCCTACCTCAATCAGAACCTGAGTTTTTTTCCAACACGAGCTCCAGGTGAGTTGATTGCACAGTAAAGTCTGAGATGTGCTGTTTACACCACTGGTTCCTCATCTTGGCATAAGGATCATTTGGGGAGATTTAAGAAACCAACAACTCAGTGTTCCTGGCTTAACTTAGAGTTGTGGTTCCTGCCCTTGACTGCACATTGAATCACCTGGGAGCTTTAAAAGCCATGGGTGACCAGGCGCAGTGGCTCATGCCTGTAATCCCAGCACTTTGGGAGGCTGAGGTGGACAAACCACCTGAGGTCAGGAGTTCGAGACTAGCCTGGCCAACATGGTGAAACCCCCGTCTCTACTAAAAATGCAAAAATTAGGCCAGGCACAGTGGCTCACGCCTGTAATCCCAGCACTTTGGGAGGCCCAAGTGGGTGGATCTTCTGAGGTTTGGAGTTCAAGACCAGCCTGGCCAACATGGTGAAACCCCGTCTCTACTAAAAAAAATACAACAAATTAGCTGGGCGTGGTAGTGGGAGCCTGTAATCCCAGCTACTCAGGAGACTGAGGGAGGATGATCGCTTGAACCCGTGGGGTGGAGGTTGCAGTGAGCCGAGGCTGCGCCATTGCACTCCAGCCTGGGCAACAAGCGCGAAACTCCATCTCAAAAAAAAGAAAAAAAAATTAGCTGGGTGTGGTGGCGCATGCCTGTAATCCCAGCTACTCAGGAGGCTGAGGCAGGAGAACCACTTGAACCCAGGAGGTGGAGGTTGCAGTGAGCCAAGATCGCGCCATTGCACTACCAGCTTGGGCGATAAGAGCAAAAAAAAAAAAAAAAAAAAAAAAAGAAAAGCCATGGATGCCCAGGGCCACCCCTAGAACTGGTTTGAATTGGTCTTTCCCCTGTGTTCTTCAATGTAGGCAGCAACTCCTGCCTCTAATTCCATCAGGGGCCACCTTTTCCTACCATAATGGCTTTCATTTCACAAGTCAGGGGGCCAAAGAGATGAGCTTGACTGTTGCGAACGATATCTGCCTTTGCTCTTCAGGCAGGAACTGGGGAACTAACCCTGCAGGGGTTCAGATTTCTTGGGCTACTGCAAGACAGCCTTCGGTCAAAGCTCCATTAACTTACTAGCTACATGGCCCCCACTGTGATCAGTGTTTTTTAATCTCTGAAAGGTTTTTTTTCCTACCTAGTGAACAATCACACAGATACTTTTGTAGAACGAAGATGTTTACAAAACAAAGCATGTGGGGCAAGTGTACCCAGCCTTCCTTTTATTCAAGAGGTTCTGGGACAGTGAACTTACCCAGATTAATCAATTTCACGGGGTATGCCATATTTTAGGAATAACTTTTTGGACAATTTGTCCGCACGTCTATTTCCTTAAACTTGCCATTTTATGTCCTTGCACAGTTATTATGTTACAATATATTCTCCACCATCAAATTTTCACACTTCCAGGATTCAATAAAAAAGCTTAGCAATGCCTGTGAGGCATGAAGATTACCTTCTGAATCATCAAAGAGAGATGTTTTTTTCTTTCTTTTTTTTGAAATGGAGTCTCACTCTGTCACCCAAGCTGGAGTGCAGTGGCCTATCTTGGCTCACTGCAACCTCCGCCTCCCGGGTTCAAGTGATTCTCCTGCCTTAGCCTCTGGGAGCAGCTGGGATTACAGGCACGCTGCACTATGCCTGGCTTTTTTTTTTTTTTTTTTTTTTATTTTTAGTAGGGATAGGGTTTCATCATGTTGGCCAGGCTGGTCTGGAACTCCTGACCTCAAGTTGTCCACCCCCCTCTGCCTCCCAAAGTGATGGGATTATAGGTGTGCCCAGCCTGAATCATCATAGACAGATTTGATTAGGAACCATTGCTATATCCTAAATCTCTTTGGTCTATGATTCTTTCTCATTTTTACTTCAACTTTTTTTTTTTTTCCCAGACAGGCTGTTGCTCTGTCCCCCAGTCTGGAGTGCAGTGGTGTGATCATGGCTCACTGCAGCCTCAATCTTCTGGGCTCAAGCCATCCTCCCACCTCAGCCTCCTGAGTAGCTGGGGCCACAGGCATGCACCACCACACCTAGCTAATTTTTAAAATTATTTCTAGAGTGAAGGTCTCACTGTGTTGCCCAGGCTTCCACTTTGAACTCCTGGGCTCAAGCAGTCCTCCTGACTTGGCCTCCCAAAGTGTTAGGATTACAGGCATGAGACACTGCACCTGGCCTTTCTTCAACTTTGTATACTGAAACATAGCATACAGAGTGCAGGACAGTTCTCCTGGTGGCCTTGGACCAACCCAGCTCTTCCCCCTTTCTTGCTTGTAGTTCTCAAAATAACTGTAGAATGTGCTGGGAATGTAACATCCTGTGATAAGGAGGGATTGGCTGCAACTGCCTGCGCTCTGTTCCAGTCCTTGTCAGAAACAGGATGTCCTGTCTGGGCTCGGTGGCTCACGCCTGTAATCCCAGCACTTTGGGAGGCTGAGGTGGGTGGATCACCTGAGGTCAGGAGTTCAAGACCAACCTGGCCAACATGGTGAAACCCCGTCTCTACTAAAATACAAAAAATTAGCCTGGTGTGATGTTGGACGCCTGTAATCCCAGCTACTTGGGAGGCCAGGCAGGGAAATCGCTTGAACCTGGGAGGCGGAGGTTGCAGTGATCCGAGATCGTGCCACTGCACTCCAGTCTTGACCACAGAACGAGACTCCGTCTCAAGAAAAAAAAAAAAAAAAGAAACAGGATGTCCTTCAACACTTTAGTCCAGTGAATCATGTATCTCCGGGGTATAAAGCCCAGGTGGGCTGCTTCTTGGGAGCCCTCAGCTGCAGTGCAAGTGGGGCATGCACAGTTGAGACTCCATCTGCCCCAGGCTGCTTTCCTGAGCCTTAGGTGACCAGCTCACAATGAACCCTAGGCTTCTGTTATCCCTTGGTGCCTATCTGTAAGTAATAGATCCTCTTCATGTAACTTGTTGCATATGTGGGTGTTTTGTCTCACTGGACTCAGACAAGTTGGTAACTAAGTGCACAGTGAACCTGCTTCATGGAGATAATTACTCAAAATATAAATGTGTGATGAATTATCAGAGTGAACAGCTTTGTGCCATGAGGCAGGTAAAGAAATGAGACATGGCCAGCACTACCAAAGCCCCTTTCATGAAACATAAGTTCCTCCCACTTTCAAAAGGACTTGACTTCTAACACTATCATTTTTAATTTGTTTGCCTATCACGAACTTTCCATATTTGGAATCTCACAGAATGTGTTCTTTGAAGCTTGGCTTCTTTTGTGAAGCATTATATTCATGAGATGCATTATGTCGTTGTGTGAGGTAGTAGCTCATGCATTTTTATATATAATACATTTTTCTTATCTGATCTTTTTTTTAATTTTAATTTTAATTTTTTTTTTTTTTTTTTTTGAGACGGAGTTTCGCTCTTGTTGCCAAGGCTGGATTGCAACGGCCTGATCTTGGCTTACTGCAACCTCTGCCTCCTGGTTTCACGCGATTCTCCTGCCTCAGCCTCCTGAGTAGCTGGGAATACAGGCACCTGCCACCATGCCCGGCTAATTTTTTTGTATTTTGAGTAGAGACAGGGTTTCCCCATGTTGGCCAGGCTGGTCTTGAGCTCCTGGCCTCAAGTGATCCGCCCGCCTCGGCCTTCCAAAGTGCTGGGATTACAAGCATGAGCCACCATGCCCAGCCTTATTTGCTCTTTTTTTGATGGACATTTGGGGTGTTGTTATTCTTGTTGTTTTTTTTTGAGACGGAGTTTCGCTCTTTCTCCCAGGCTGCTGTGAATTTGCGCGATCTTGGCTCACTGCAATCTCCGCCTCCTGGTTTCATGCAATTCTCCTGCCTCAGCCTCCCGAGTAGCTGGGATTATAGGCACACACCACCATGCCCAGCTAATTTTTGTATTTTTAGTAGAGATGGGGTTTCGCCATGTTGGCCAGGCTGGTCTTGAACTCCTGATCTTAGGTGATCCACCCACCTTGGCCTCCCAAAGTGCTGGGATTACAGGCATGAGCCACCGCGACATTTGGGTTGTTTCTAGTTTGTGGCTATTATGAATAAATATTGCAATGAGCATGCTTGTCACATGGTGCACATGTGAACACATTTTGATTGGTATGTGCCTGGAGGTGGAACTGATGGCTCATAAAGTCACATCAACTTCAGGTGATAATATGAACCAGCTTCCCAAAGTGGTTGTACCAATGGACATACCCTCCAGCAGGTATAAAACTGTCTGGACTCTGTTCTAGTCCCCTTCAGAAACAGGATGTCCTTCAATACATTAGTCCAGTGAGTCATGTGGCTCTGGGATGTAAAACTTACCTGGGATATAAGAATTGTGAGCTGGTCATCCAAGGCTCAGGAAAGCTGCCTGGGGCACATGGAGCAGGTATGAGACTTCCAGTTGTTCCCCATCCTTTCTTGGAATGTCCTTGTCTGATTTTAGTATCAAGGTTTTTCTGGCCTCATAAAATGAATTTGGAAGTGTTTGCTCTTTTTTTAGTCTTTGTAAGAGTTTGTTTAAAATTGGTGTTCCTCCCGGGAGGCAGAGGTTGCAGTGAGCTGAGATCACGCCATTGCACTCCAGCCTGGGTGAGAAGAGCAAAACTCCGTCTCAAATAAATAAAAATAAAAATAAAAATAAAATAAAATAAAATAAAATTGGTGTTCTTGCATCCTTAGATGTGTGTATGGCATTCACAGGTAAAGCCATTTAGTCTTGGAAGATTTTTTAAGTTGCAGATTTAATTTATTTATTATAGGATTATTCATATTTTCTTTTCTTTCTTTTTTTTTTCCTGTTTCACAGGAAACAACTTTTGGCTTCATGATCCTCTCTTTTGTAAGTATATTCTTAATTTTATTAACTTCTGTTCTTATCTTTATTATTTTCTTTTTTCTACTTTGTTTAGGCTTAATGTACTGTTCTTTTTCTTTCTGAGGTGGGTGCTTCTTAATTTTGGCTTTCCTCCTTTCTAACATGTGCCTTTAAAGCTATGAATTTTCCTTTAATCATGGCCTTGACTTCCTCTCATAAGTTTTAATGTCTGCAGAATCTGTAGTGATGTCCTGTTTCAGTCTTGATATTGGTAATTTGGGCCTTCTCTTTCCTTTTGTTCACCTTACTAGAGGTTCATTACTTTTATGATTTTTTTTTTCAAAGAACCAGCTTTTTGTTTCACTTACTTTTCTCCAGTTTTCCTGTTTTCCATGTCATTGATTTCTACTATTATCTTTAGTATTTCCTGCCTTCTGTTTGCTTTGAGTTTAATTTGCTCTTCTATTTTCTAGTTTTGAAGCAGTGTCGTTGTCTGGGTAAATACCTGAGGTTTGTTGTCTCACAACAAGGAAAATTGAGTATGTGGACACACAGGAAGTGGGTTTAGGAGCTGAGGTTTAATAGGCAAAAGAAAGAGAAAGGAGACTAGAATAGCACTCTCTCCTGCCAGAGAGAGGGGCTCCTGAGTGGGACTTCCAGCCTGCAGCAAAGTGCTCTGGATTTTATAGGCTGGCTTGAGGAGGCGCTGTCTGATTTATAGGGGTCAAAGATTGGTTGGACCAGGTTTGACGTCTACATAGCATGCGAGGAAGCTGGCGACCCCATCCTAATCTTCTATTATGCAAATGGAGTTGTTACTTGGCCGGTGCCATGTTGTCTTCTCCTCACTGTACACGTGGTTGGCAAAGAAAAGGAAGATGGAGCCGCCATGTTGAACATGCCTAGCCCCCAGGTAGCCCCTTTCCTATTGGCACAGCTGCCAGCATGCACTCGTGCACATTTTTATGTCTGCAGCTCGACTTTACAGGCTGTTATTTGTTAGAAAAGAGAATGATTGACCGGGTGCGGTGGCTCACAACTGTAATCCCAGCACTTTGGGAGGCCGAGGCTGGTGCATCACCTGAGGTCAGGAGTTCGAGACTAGCCTGACCAACATGACGAAACTCTGTCTGTATTAAAAATATAAAATTAGCCTGGCGTGGTGGTGGGCGCCTGTAATTCCAGCTACTTGGGAGGGTGAGGCAGGAGAATCGCTTGAATCTGGGAGGCAGAGGTTGCAGTGAGCCGAGATCGCGCCATTGCACTCCAGCCTGGGCAACAAGAGTGAAACTCCGTTTCAAGAAAAAAAAGGAATGATTTGGGGGCTGCTTTGTATTAAAAGGGAAACCTTACCGAGGACTTCCTTACCTTTACTATCTGCTAAATTAATTCCTTTTTAAACTCCTATATCAGTTTCACAGATGTGAGGTCAGATTATTGATTTGGGACATTTCTTCTTTTCTGATGTAAGCATTTAGTGTCCTAAATTTCCCTCTCACCACTGTTTAAGCTGCATCCCACAAATTTAGATGTGTTTTCATTTTCACTCAGTTGAATAAATGTTTTGATTTCTCTTGAGACTTCTCTGCGACTCAAGGATTATTTAGAAGTGTGTTTTTTAGTTTCCTAGTTTTTGGAGATTTTCTCGTGACCTTTCTGATTGATTTCTAGTTCGATTCCACAGGGGTTGGGGAACACACTTGGCATGATTTCAATTCCTTTAAATTCGTTCAGGTTTGTTTTATGGCCCAGGATATGGTATATGATTATGAAAGGAAAATAAAAACTCGGGACCCCAATTCACCAGGCCAAAAGAAAAAAATTAAGCTGAGAGCCGAATCACGCAAGAAGCTGCCTTTCATTTTGTTCCTAAGCAGACAGCTACAGATAACAGGTTAAATTATCTCCAAAGGTAGCTACTCCGTGTTCCCCTTACCTTAACGATTTGCTGAGCCTGAGACGAATACGTCTTGACTCTTTCTCTACTTGCTCCTTTTCTCTTGCAACATGTGGAGGACTGTTCCTCTCCAGCCCACTTTTCCCCTTTAAATACTGATGCCCTTAAATTCATCTTTAGAGAAAGGCACAGACCACAGACTGTTTCTGTGATTCTGAGTTTACTTCTTCTGGGCATGTCCTTAACCTTGGCAAAATAAACTTCTAAATTGATCGATGCCTGCCTCAGCAACTTTTTGGTTTACGTGATCTTGGTACACAAGCCACAGGTGCTTGAAAAGAATAATATGTCTTCTGTTTTTGCTGGGTGGAGTGTTTTATAGATGTTGATTAGATACTGTTGACTGATGATGGTGTTGAATTCTTCTATATCCTTGCTGATTTTCAGTTTAGTTCTATCAGTTGTTGAGAGAATAGTGTTGAAGTCTCCAGCTCTAACTGTGTATTTGTTTATTTTTGTCTTTCGGTTCTGTTTCTTATATTAATAAACTTTATTTTTAAAACAGTTTTAAACTTAAAGAAGCAAGAAGATAGTCTCCCATCCCCCCAATTTCCCTTATTATGCACATTTTACATTAGTATAATACATTTGTCATAATTAATGAACCAATACTGATACCTTATTATTAACTAAACTCCATCATTTATGCAGCTTTCCTCATATTTTCCCTAATGTCCTTTTTCTCTTCTAGAATACCACATTATATTTAGTTGTCTTGTCTCCTTAGGTTCTGTGGTATAATAGGAAATATACACAGTATTTTGTCTTTGTCCCTGGTTCCTGTCACAGAGCTCCTAAAACGCTTGGGATTTCCTGAATGATTGCAGTGTCCTGTGTTATTCATCATAAGCCCCTTTTGATCATACCTGAGTTAATGCTAATGAGGTGACTTAGGGTTGGTCCCCTAGATAACCTCAGAATGGGGACAGTCACCAGAAAGGCCAAGTAATTAGAGCATTAGAGGGTTGGAATTTTTATCCCCCCCCACGAATTTTTGGGAAGCAGGGTGGCTAGAGATTAAGCTCTATTACAACTCTTGGGTTGGGCATGGTGGCTTGCGTCTGTAATCCCAGCACTTTGGCAGGCTCAGGTTAGAGGACTGCTTGAATCCAAGAGTTTGAGGCCAGCCTGGGCAATATAACAAGACCCCCATGTTTATAAAAAATTAGCTGGGCATAGTGGTATGTGCCTGTAGTCCCTGCTACCCAGGAGGCTGAAGCTGAGGTGGGAGGATCACTGAGCCTGGGAGGTCGAGGATGCAGTGAGCCATGTTGGTGCCATTATACTCCAACCTGGGTGACGGAGTTAGACCATGGTCTCAAAACAAAAACCAAAAAACCCCCTCTTGAACAACAAGCTCTCATGAGCTTCTGGGTTGCTGAACATGTGGAGGTGCTGGGAGAGTGGCACACCCAGAGGAGGCGTGGAAGCTCCGCGTCCACCCACACCTTGCCCTGTCCATCCATCTCTTTATCTGGCTGTTCATCTGTATCCTTTATAATAAACTGATAAACTTAAGTAAAGTGTTTCCCTGAGTCCTGTGTGCCATTTTAAGAAATTATTGAGGCTAGGTGCGGTGGCTCACACCTGTAATCCCAGCACTTTGGGAGGCTGAGGCGGGCGGATCACCTGAGGTCAGGAGTTTAAGACCAGCCTGGTCAACATGGTGAAACCCTGTCTCTACTAAAAATACAAAAATTAGCTGGGTGTGGTGGCACATGCCTGTAGTCTCAGCTACTCTGAAGGCTGAGTCAGGAGAATCGCTTGAACCTGGGAGGCAGAGGTTGCAGTGAGCCGAGATGGCACCACTGCATTCTTGCCTGGGCGACAGAGCGAGATTCCATCTCAAAAAAAAAAAAAAAAAAAAAAGTATTGAACCTGAGGCATGAGGTTGTGGGAACCCTGATTTATAGCCAGTCAGTCAGAAACATGGGTCTCAGCCTGGGACTTGCAATTGGCGTCTGAAGTGGAGGCATCTTGCGGGACTGAGCCCTTGACCTGTAGGATCTGACACCATCTCAGGTAGGTAGTGCCAGAGTGGAACTGAATTACAGACACCAGTTGGTGTCTGCTGAAGAATTGCTTGATGTGGAGGGAAGCCCACCATATCTGATCACAGAAGTGTTGAATGTGAGTAGAGAGAAAAAACAAACTGTTTTTGTTTTTCTTGGCTATGACCTTTTTAAGGCTTTCCTTGTTTTTGATGACCTTGAAATTTTTAAGGAGTAGTAGTCAGGTATACTATAGGATCTCCCTCTACTGGATTTTTTTCTGATTTTTTTTTTTTTTTTTTTTTGAGACGGAGTTTCACTCTTCTTGCCCAGGCTGGAGTGCAATGGCACGATCTCGGCTCATTGCAACCTCCGCCTCCCAGGTTCAAACAATTCTCCTGCTTCAGCCTCCCAAATAGCTGAGATTACAGGCATGCGCCACCATGCCTGGATAATTTTGTATTTTTAGTAGAGATGAGGTTTCACCACGTTGGCCAGGCTGGTCTTGAACTCTTGACCTCAGGTGATCCACTCACCTTGGCCTCCCAAAGTGCTGGCATTACAGGTGTGAGCCACTGTGCCCCACCTTTTCTGTGTTTTTCTCATAATTAGACTTGGGTAATGAGGTTTTTTGGAAGGAAGGTCACAGAGGTAAAGTGCCATTTTCATCTTATATCAAGGATGCATACTATTGATGTGATTCATGACTGTTGATGTTGAACTTGATCAACTGGCTAAAGTAGTGTTTATCAGGTTTCTCCCCTGTAAAGTTATTCTTTTTTCCTTCCTTTCCATACTATACTCAGTGGATACTTATATGAAGTATGGTCACACAACGAACCTCTGCCTCCCAGGTTCAAGCGATTCTCCTGCTTCAGCCTCCCAAGCAGCTGGGATTACAAGTGTGTGCCGCCACACCTGGCTAATTTTTGTATTTTTAGTGGAGATAAGGTTTGGCCATGTAGGCCAGGCTGGTCTCAAACTGCTGACCTCAAGTGATCCGCCTGCCTCGTCCTCTGAAAGTGCTGGGATTATAGGCGTGAGCCACCATGCCCAGCCTTAAAGTTTCTGTTTTTCCCCCAAGGAATGTTTTTAAGCCTATTTGTGTCAGTAAATATTAATTTTAAAAAACTTGCATTTTCCAGCAATTATACTATTGTCTTTCATTTAATAAACATTTTTTGTAACCCTATTATAGATGTAAACTCCTCAGGGATGTAAGACACAACCTAAAATCAGTGTGAGCCACCTAAGACGCATGGTGACACTCTCAAATTACCTTGGGAAGAGGTTTACCTATTTACATGCCCACCGCTAGGGTATGAGAGCACCGGCATCTGTACAACTTTGCCATTCCTCAGTGTAATAAAAAACCGTTGTTTTTTTGGCCGGGTGCTGTGGCTCACACCTGAAATCCCAGCACTTCGGGAGGCCAAGGCGGGCGGATCACGAGGTCAGGAGTTCGAGACCAGCCTGGCCAACATGGTGAAACACCGTCACTACTAGAAATACGACAAAATAGCTGGGTGTGGTGGCGTGCACCTGTAGTCCCAGCTACTTGGGAGACTGAGGCAGGAGAATCGCTTGAACCCAGGAGGCGGAGGTTGCAGTGAGCCGAGATCGTGCCTCTGCACTCCAGCCTGGGTGACAGAACGAGACTCCATGTCAAAAAAAAAAAAAAAAAAGAGATTCAGAGACTCAGAAATGTGATGTCCAGACTGCCTGCCAGAAGTGTATCCACCCTCAGAATATGAATCCTGCCCTCCCAGTTATACCTTGCTTATCTACATGGGGAAGTTATCCCAGATATTATATCAACTGTCCCTGCCTGTGGTCCACCTTAATTTAGGAACCCTTGCTGGCTGAAAGGAGGCCAACACTCATCAGTTGTAGAGTCCAGGTCCCTTAGGATATTCCTGGGCTGGTCATGAGTTGCACCCTGGGGTCTCCTGGTTGGTGGCTAGAGAAGGGTAGAAGGAAATTTTGCCAGAAGAGCCAGTCCTCTTGTGATGCACTGGAAAATTTTTGGCAAATATTCAGTCACTTTCCTCTCCTTGGAGCAGAGTATATTTCCCTGCCCCATTGGCTTTGGGCTTGGCCATATGACTTGCTTTGGCCAGTGAAATGTGGATAGATGATGTGTTAGGAACAGAAGCTCTAAAGCTTCACGTATTTGTCATTAATCATGGGAAGAATATGCCCCAGACAGCGGATGGTTCAAGGAGAATACAGAGAAAAGGGGAATGGATTTGAGCCATAAAAGCCTAGAACCAACACTAGAATCTGCAGACAGAGACCTAAGCAAGAAAAATAAATGCTTGCTATTGTAACCTGTGAATTAAGGGGTGGCTTGTTTTGTAGCATTACTGTGGCTATAGCTGACTAATACACCTTTCTTTAGGGGAGTCATCCAGGCCAAGAGGGAGCTTTCTGGGCACTGGTGATGATATGTGCCGTGGATCCACAGAATGGGAAGCTACCCTTACTGCGACTCAGGTCCAGCAAAGGGGCCTGGCAGGAATAGGTCAAGGGCTTCAGGGCCCTGGGGAGGATGCATTTCATGGCTTGATTCCAGCCCAAGGGGCTGTAGGGAATAGAAGCCAGTGGGCATTCTTTTAGTTCTAATCTATGAGATTGAGGAAAGATCTTCTGTTCCCACTGCCCAATTCTTGGCTGATGAGGAAGAATTTTATTCTAAATATTCAGAGCTAGCTGGGAGCGGTAGCACGCACCTGTAGTCCCAGCTACTCAGGAGGCTGAAGCAAGAGGATGGCTTGAACCCAGGAGTCCAGCCTGGCAACATAGTGAGACACTGTCTCTAAAAAAATAGATACATAAAAAAATTAAAAATAATTCAGAGCTGCTGGCTACTTCTCTTCCATCAGATGAAGACCTGAAAAACTGTGGTGTCTTACCCTGCTCTCAAGATCCCTTCTGATTCCCAACCCACAAACTGGTACAGTCCAGTGGGCATGAAGTGTTCACTGGATGTAGAAAGTTCCTGAAAGGGGCTGGGTTTGGTGGCTCACACCTGCTATCCCAGCACCTTGGGAGGCTGAGATGAGAGGATCACTTGAGGCCAGGAGTTCAAGACCAGCCTGGGAAACATAGTGAGGCCCTGTCTCTACAAAAATTTAAAAATGAGCAGGGCATGGTGGCATGCACCTGTAGTCCCAGCTACTGGGGAGCCTGAGGTGAGAGAATCGCTTGAGCCCAGGAGTTCAAGGCTGCTGTGAGCTATGATCACACCACTGCACTCTAGCTTGGGCAACAGAGCAAGACCCTATCTCCCACAAACAAATAAACAACAAAAAAGAAAGTTCCTGAAGGGGATCAGGAGAATGGAGGATCACGACTGTGTCCTCAGCTACTCAGAAAGCAATGTGTGGGCAGCAGGACAGTGGCTGGAGGTTTGATGATTGGATGGACTCTTCTTGGAGTTAAGGGTGGGGTATATGCATTGGAGAGGGCTGAGCCTTTTCCTTCCCCACCTCTGGCCAGGGGTGCCTTTGATGCACAGGGTAACACTCTGGCAAGAGCTCTGAGTCTTTTAATTCAGCTTTGTTAACTCTGGAGTCCCAACTGTTTGCAGATGGCTGGCTGATATCCTCATTTTTAAAGACCTGCTTTGAATTTTTATCCTCTTTTCAGCTCTTCATTGGTATTTTAAGGGGAGAGGTCTTATAAAGGACTTCAATACCAAGTTGAGTTGGTCGTGTCTGTGTTTGATTAAAAAAAAATTGGCTGGGTGCAGTGCCTCACGCCTGTAATCCCAGTACTTTGGGAGGCCTAGGCAGGTGGATCACCTGAGTTTGGGAGTTTGAGACCAGCCTGACCAACATGTAGAAACCCCGTTTCTACTAAAAATACAAAAAAATTAGCTGAGCGTGGTGGCAGGCACTTGTAATCCCAGCTACCTGGGAGCCTGAGGCAGGGGAATCGCTTGAACCCAGGAGGCGGAGGTTGTGGCGAGATCATGCCATTGCACTCCAGCCTGGGTAACAAGAGCGAAACTCCGTCTCAGAAAAAAAAAAAAAAAAAAAAGAAATGTCCTGAGGGCTCCTAATAAGGCAGGCAGTTCTAGAGGGTAGCTTGGGAAGGGGATGCTAAGTATGGGTTGAGTGCGTGGGAATGCTAGCGTAGCTCCAAAATCTTCATCTCCAGAATCTCTCCACCTGTTCTCTTCACTCCCACCCCCATTCCTCTGGCAAAGCCGCCATCATCTCTTGCGTGGACTGTTGCAGTTGCCACAGTAAATGGCATCCTTGCTAATTTTTGACACTGCCAGTTATCCTCTTATGGCAGGACTTTTGCACTTGCTGTCTCCTCTGCCTTGGATGCTCTCCTCAGGGATCTGTGTGGCTCACTCCCTTACCGTCTTCACACATCACCTAGCTGAGAACTTCCCTGAGTGTTGGGTCTAAAAGTGCAATTTCCCCATCCCCAACATTTCCTGTTATATTTCTTTTGCTTATCACCATCTCACCTGCCATATATGTTGTTTATTACCTATCACCCTGTTCTAGAACAAGAACTCCATGGTGGCAGGTTTCTTTTCTTTTACACACTGCTGTATCCCCATCTACTGCGCAGATAGTAGGTGTTCAGTAAATACTACCAAATGCATGCATTTGATGACCTCACCTGGCCATTTGTTGATGGTTGGAGAGTACTGGCTGGTTGAAGGGTGTCAGAGGGCCCCTATGCCCCACGTGTGAAGGTGCAGTTCATAGCTGGAGTCAGGGGGACACCGACTACCTAACCTGTATGAAGCCCATGTGGTAGGCATTGTAGGCTTGTCCACTAGGGTGACTGTAAGATGCCCCTTAAGAGCTTGGAAAGAAAAGTTCTTAAGATTGTCTTCTGAGAGTTCTACTCTGAAATGGACCCGCAATGGAGGAGATTAGAGACAAGCAATGTGAACTTAAAGGCACAGAGCAAAATTAAAGGCTGTGAATGAAGCATGAGTCAGATGGGAGGATGGAGAGGGGATGTATTGGAAACAGAGGCAGGAGGCACCAGGAGGTGGAACCCTGGCCCAGGGATCAAGTCCTGTGCTTGGTACACTAAATAAATAACTGTTCACTAACTCCTCAGCTTTGCCTGTGAGCTCATGAAGCAGCTTTCAGACCATGGACTGACTTCCCATCAAGCTCATTTATTGTCATAAATACATTGGCTTGTTGATGGTTAAGTTATATATCCCACTAAAAATTAGCATATTGGCCTTGGGCTTACAAACTTTACTTCCTAGTGAGTTAGGAAGTCCATATCAGCTTATATGAGACTGGTCACCAGATCCGCTTTCTGGACCTGTAATACTGAAGAATAGATAAATGACTGGCTGGGGGCAAGTTCACTGAGCAAATAATACTGCAGTCTTCTGGGATGCGGCTAGCCAGGGATTTCCTGGTGTCCCCCTTTCCTTTTCACAGCTGTCTTTCTTTCTTTTTCTTTCTTTCTTTTTTTTTTTTTTTTTTTGAGACTGAGTCTCGCTCTGTTGCCCAAGCTGGAGTGCAGTGCCACGATCTCTGCTCACTGCAACCTCCACCTCCTGGGTTCAAGCGATTCTCCTGTCTCGCCCTCCTGAGTAGCTGGGACTATAGGCGCATGCCACCACACCTGGCTGATTTTTTTTATTTTTAGTAGAGACGAGGTTTCACCATGTTAGCCAGGATGCTCTTGATCTCTTGACCTTGTGATCCACCCGCCTCGGCCTCCCAAAGTGCTGGGATTACAGGCGTGAGCCACTGCGCCTGGCTAGCTGTCTTTCAAAATCCTAAACATTTGGCCAGGGCTGTGGCTCATGCCTGTAATCTCAGCACTTTGGGAGGACGAGGCAGGTGGATCACCTGAGGTCAGGAGTTTGAGACCAGCCTGGCCAACATGGCGAAACCCTGTCTCTATTAAAAATACAAAATTAGCCAGGTATGGTGGCATGTGCCTATAGGCCCAGCTACCTGGGAGGCTGAGGCAGGAGAATTTCTTGAACCCTAGAGGGGGAGGTTGCAGTGAGCCGAGATTGGGCCACTGCACTTCAGTCTGGGAGAGCGAGACTCCGTCTCAAAAAAAGAAAACAAAAACCAAAACCCAAAAACCTAAACATCTGGTCAATCTGGGAAGATATCCTTGAAGAAGATGGCTTCTGAGATAACTTGTTTTTGCTAGGTTCTTGGTGAGAGGGGGACTTCTTAGCTTATGTTGCTTGCAAATTAGATAACTGGATACAGGCTTGAAATGTGTTGACGGAATGTGTAGCAGACACCAGGAATGCCCACCTGAAATCTATTCTCTGTTTCTTCTTGCTGCCAGAATCCTGATTTTGGCAATGATCCTCAATCATCCTAAAGCGAGGGTTGACAAACTTTTTCTGTGAAGGGCAAGAGAGTAAAATTTAGGCTTTGTGAGCCAAGAGGCAAATTTGAGAATATTATGTAGTAATGTTCATACAATTTTAGTGTGTCATGAAATATTATTCTTTTGACTTTCCCCTCCAATCATTTAAAAATGTAAAATTCAGGCCAGGCGCAGTGGCTTATGCCTGTAATCCCAGCGCTTTGGGAGGCTGAGGCAGGTGGATCACTTGAGGTCAGGAGTTCGAGACCAGCCTGGCCAACATGGTGAAACCCCATCTCTACTAAAAATACAAAACTAGCCGGGCGCAGTGGTTCAAGCCTGTAATCCCAGCACTTTGGGAGGCCGAGGAGGGCAGATCACAAGGTCAGGAGATCGAGACCATCCTGGCTAACAGGGTGAAACCCCATCTCTACTAAAAATACAAAAAATTAGCCAGGCTTGGTGGCAGGCGCCTGTAGTCCCAGCTACTTGGGACGCCGCTGAGGCAGGAGAATGGCGTGAAACCAAGAGGCGGAGCTTGCAGTGAGCCAAGATTGCACCACTGCACTCCAGCCTGGGCGACAGAGCGAGACTCCGTCTCAGAAAAAAAAAAAAAAAAAGAAAAAATTAGCCAGGCGTGGTGGTTCATGCCTGTAATCCCAGCTACTTGGAAGGCTGAAGGCTGAGGCAAGAGAATCACTTGAATCCGGGAGGCAAAGGTTGCAGTGAGCTGAGATGGCGCCACTGCACTCCAGCCTGGGCAACAGAGCGAGACTCTGTCTCAAAAAAAAAAAAAAAAAAAAAAAAAAGAGCGAGCTTGGGTTCTTGACTGGCAATACCAGCAACCACCTGTTCTATAACTTGCCAAGTGAGAAAAATAATGCCCCAGGTTTATGCAGCTATTGATCCACTTCCTTATTGCCTGCAGCTGTGCTCTTAGCTGATCCGGTGTGCTAGGGATGTCATCATTATCTGCCCCGCCCCCACCCTCAGATGCTGGTGCCCAGATGGCTGTGTTTTGCCCCACATGATCCATCTCGCTCACTCCCATGTGCCCGCCCTCACTGTTCAGACCTGACCCAAAGTTAGCCAATCCATAAGCTGGCCTTTGTGGCTTGGCTCAGTGCATGAATGGGAACAAGCTGATTCCCTCTCTCAGGAAAAGGAACTGAGATTCCTTTTTCGGGTTCTGGCAGGACAGAAGGAGGTGGACCAAAACAATATGGTGGAGTCACGTGAGTGGTGAATCCTGGAAGAAACATCCACAGATGTCGTGGCTGAGGTGTCTGCAAATGCTTCTGATGCATCCTTACCTCCGACTCCTGGCTCTGAAATCTCAGCCTGTTGTGGCCCTAGCTCCTGGATTTCTTCTTGATTCCAAGCATATCTTGCAAGTTCCACTTATTCCTCCCCAGACCACAGCAATTTTAGAATGTAGGCCGGCATCCTGCTCAGCATTCCCTTTGTTTCACTGCTTCCCAAAAGGGCTGGGGATTGGGGAAGGGAAGAAAGTCCTGGCCAGACCCTTGACAGCAGTGCAATGCCCCCCTGCCCAAAGGCCCCGGCACCACTTGGGCCGAGGGAGCACGGGTCCACTGGGCTCCCGAAAGCCATTCTGAGCAGAGAGGCTGCGGGACCAGTTTATCCTTTACAAGCATCTGGTTTTATGCTTTCCTGAAGCCACAAAAAAAAAAAAAAAAAAAAAAGGAAAGTTTTTCCAAGTGGACGGTGAACATGCAACCCCTGGGGGTGTAGTAGGATGGGAATAGAAACAGGGTGAGGGGTGCTCTGAGGAGTTAAAGCTCTGACAGGTCACTGAGGGAGGGTGACTGAGGTCCCAAAACTTTCTCCAGGACCTGTTGGCACCCGTTGGAGGAGGGATTAAGGGGCTGGCTTGCAGCATGACAGTCAGGAGCCTTTGGGGGCAGGGTGGGGCTCCAGATGGGAGGGTTAGGTGACCTGGAGGGCGCCATGGAGGGCGCAGCTGGTTCCTTGCAGCCTCTAGCCCCCAGAGGACTGGTGGGACCAGCGGGGGTGAGGGCCTTGCAAGGTTGGTGATGGTGAGCCAGCTGCCAGACGGCAGCAGGGCTGTGTCCCAGAGAAGGGTCAGTGGGCCAACTCCCAAGATCCAGTATTTAGTAAACACTTAAGCCCAGCCCCAAGCAGCCCTGGGGACAGAGCCCTCTCCCCTGTGGTGGATGCAGGTGCAGATTCTATCGTAACCCAGGATGACTGGGTGTGAGCTATGAGGGAGGCTGCAAAAAGTGCAGGGCTTGGCAAAGGATCTGTGTATGGCAGGAGGAAGATGAAGACTCTGGAAGACAGGGAGTGGAGAGGGCCAGCAGGGTCAGGGGCGTCATCATGCCCAAAGAGAGTAGAGGAGATAGGAGATACTGCAGTAGGCGAGTGGCCTTGGGGCTTGTATTTGGGGTGTGAACACTAACATCTGGAAGGGTGAACACTAACATCTGGAGCTAGAGACAGCCTCTTGGGAGTCATTTCTGTACAAGTGGTCATTGAGATGACATGGAGTGGATAAAACTGTGTGAAGAGTTGAGAAAAAGAGGAATAAAACCCTAGGGAGCATTTAAGAGTGGAGAGAGAAGGCTGTGGAGGAGGCAGAGAGAGAGTAGGGTCAGCAGGTCAGAAGAGATCCCAGAGGCGCGGCTCAGAGGCAGGGAGGGAACATTCCAGGAATCAGGGAGTGGCCACCAGTGTGGACTGGAGCAGAGAAGGCGGGGAGGAGACCAGGGAAATGGAAGGTCCCAGGTGACTTGCAAAAGCAGCCCTGGGGATGCTGGGGACAGAGGTCCCGGGAAGAGTGTGGGAAGAAAGCAAGGTGGGCAGTGAGAGCCCAGCTGGAGAGGGAGGGCAGACTGGAGATGGGGTCCTTGAGTGGGAAGCAGGAATGAAGCTCTTTAAGGATGGGGAGTGGGCACTTGGGTGAATGCTAGTGTCCTCGGAGGCTTGCTTCTGTCCCTGTCACATCTCACAGGACCATCCCTTTCTCATTCACAAACTCCCTCAGGCCTCACCCCATCCCTTGAGGATCATGTAAAGAAATTCCTACTCGCTGGAGACAATGGCCCCATTTTTTTTTTTTTTTTTTACATGCATCTCAGGGACAGTCTCTCTAATCAGATGTGTGGGCTGGGCTGGGGATCTGAGCACCTGAGGACCCAGGAAATGGTACAGTGAATGCACTTCTTTCAGATGGTCTCCAAATCACTAGCAAGAGGCTGCCTCCTCCAGAAGGTCTGTTGCTGTTTTCTCCCATCCTCTTGGCCATTCTATGACCCTTTGCCATGTCCCAGAACCAAGGTCAGCAGCACAGTGCTTTACTGATGATTAGAACAAGGTACCTGGATGCCCTTGCTGTGGCATGATCTATCTAGGGGCTCTGAAGCCCTCCTGCACCTCCTGTAGGCTCACAACCTGGTGCAGGGATACCGGAGGAGGAGGTAGCTGTGTGCAGGGGGCCCCTGTGTCCCAGAGACAGGCTGAGGCTCAAACATCAGACATATTTTCCAGATTGATTACCATGCCTAGAGCAAGTATAGGGCAAGCCACTGGCCTTCCTGCCTCCACTCCCACTGGGTTAACCGGGGCAGGGAGGCCCACAAATCCTCCTGATGAAGGCTCCCTTCCCACCCTCCCCTTTTGTCCCCACTGTTGACTTTCTGTGGGATCAGCTGCCCTGGCATGTGGGACTGTCAGAGGTACTGGAACCAGAGTGACTCCATCTTAAATAGGGGCTGGGTAAAATGAGGCTGAGACCTACTGGGCTGCATTCCCAGGAGATCAGGCATTCTTAGTCACAGGATGAGACAGGAGGTCGACACAAAATACAAGCCATAAAGACCTTGCTGATAAAACAGGTTGCAGGAAAGAATCCGACCAAAACTTACCAAAACCACGATGGGGAAGAAAGTGACCTCTGATTGTCCTCACTGCTCATTACATGCTAATTATAAGGTATTAGCCGGTTAAAATACACTCCCACCAGCACCATGACAGTTTATAAATGCCATGGCAACCCAAGGAAGTTACCCTATACGGTCTATAAAGGGGAGGAACCATCAGTTCTGGGAATTACCCACCTCTTTCCTGGAAAACTCATGAATAGTCCACCACTTGTTTAGCATATAATCAAGAAGTAAAAATAAGTATGAGCAGCTGAGCAGCCCATGCTTCTGCTCTGCCTATGGAGTAGCCACTTTTATTCCTTTACTTTTTTTTTTTTTTTTTTTTGAGATGGAGTTGCCCAGGCTGGAGTGCAATGGCATGATCTTGGCTCACTGCAACCTCTGCCTCCCGGGTTCAAGCGATTCTTCTGCCTCAGCCTCCTGAGTAGCTGGGATCACAGGCACCTGCCACCACACCCGGCTAATTTTTTATATTTTTAGTAGAGATGGGGTTTCACCACGTTGGCTAGGCTGGTCTCGAACTCCTGACCTCAGGTGATTCACCCGCCTCGGCCTCTCAAAGTGCTGGGATTACAGGTATGAGCCACTGTGCCCAGCCTATTCCTTTACTTTCGTAATAAACTTGCCTTCACTTTACTGTATGGACTTGCCCTGAATTCTTTCTTGCGCAAGACCCAAGAACCCTCTCTTGGGGTCTCGATAGGGACCCCTTTTCTGGTAACAGGAACAACTTTCACTCTGCTTAGAGACCCTCTGCAAACCCAAGGCTGCTGTTGAAACAGGTCCTGTCCCAGACGCCAATGTTCAATTCTTTGACACTGCGGTCTGCCCCCTTACTGACCACTGATTTGACAGATGGCCCCTACCTCTGCCAGAAGACAGTGAGGGCTGTCCGCTGGTGTCCCCAGCTTTGGGGCAGCCAATGTGCTGCAAAGTGGAGCCCTCTTTGGAGTATGCAACATTCTGTCAGCACCCAACATACTCCCACCCATAAACTTTCCTTCCTGTGCCTCCAGGGAGGCCAGGCCTGAAAGCCCAGAACCTGCTGTAGACTCACCGTGTGAAATGTCTGCTCCAAGCCCTGATACTGGCTGCCTTTTTAACTCTGTAAAACTTGGGTGAGATGCCTGAAATTGTGGGTGACCTTTTAGATAGACTACCTGCCTAGTAAAGAATGGAAACTTTGGGCTCAAAATACTGGTCTATGTGGCCCCAGCAGCTGGGTCATCCAGTTCAGAGCACCCCCAGACACCCCAGTGTATTGTCTAACCCACTGTCCTCCCAAGGGTCCACTGGACCGCAGACATCACCCCCATGCTGGTTGGAAGTATGTGGTTGATACTATCCAGCTGAAGACTGAAATGCTTGCAATCTCATGGGAATATGACAAGTAGGAATATGACATTTTACTCAAAGCTAACAAGCATGGTTCCTAGGTATGGGTTCTTTTCCTAGCCATGTACAGCTATCTACTCGGGCTTGTATATCTTTTCATGTAAACTTATGTTTCACCCATTTACCTGATGGCCGCCTTCCTCACTGAGGCCCTCAGAGCATTACATAAGCATCTGGGGAGACTGACAAAGGGACAATTTGTGCTTAGGATCACTATTTGGTTCACAAGACCGATCATGTGAGTTTTAAAACCTAACAACCCCCCCCCAGGTCCTTTGGTCATGCTAAAACTCCCAACAGACAGCAGCCATCAGTTAAAGAGTCAGTTAAGTTGAAACTAGAAAGGCAAATGTAGACCCAATCTATTCTGTTGCGGGCCTTTAGTTCTTGACAGACTTTAGGGGAAAAAGTATTTTTTTTTTAATGGGTTATGGGCTAAAGAGGGACAGTTTGCACAGCTTGGACAAAATAGAAGTACTCTTACCAATAAATATGTCTCAAAATGACAAATAAAGCTCTCCAATTGGTGGCTTGGAATCCCAGCAAGAAGTGATGGGCACAGGCACGATGAGCTATGTACAGAGTGTAAACAGTAAGGCCCTTGAGGGGAAGTAATAAGGGGTAGGGGCCAGGTGATGGGGTGTGCACGGAGGAGCCTGGGTGGCGGACAGCGGGCCCATGGATAAATACAGCAGGCTTGTATGACGGCTATACAATCTGCCACCAAAGCTTGTGGGTGGTGGTAGGTCCACTGGGTTCCTCCAGTTGGCAGTAAGAAGGAGAAATTTGTCCACTGAGGAGCCCTGGTCCCACTGACTTTTTCCCTAAGGGAGGCACTGGGGTAGCCGGCCAAAGCTTCTGTGCCTATTTCCCAGAAGAGGAGGGGCAGGCCTTCCTGGCCATGCTTGGGGCTGTCTACTCAGGGTTCAGGGCATGGAGGATGGGGCAGTGTTTCTCAAATAGGGATTGGGAGCAAAAGGCCCCACGGAGCCCGCAGCCTCTCCCTTCTAAGAAAAGAGTTCTGGGCACCTGAGTCCAGCAGGGGGCCCCACTACTTTTCACCTTTCAAGGGCTCCAGCCTCAAGCTCTGCCCAGTTCCTCAGGGATGTCACAGAGCAGCTGCCCTGATCAGTTTCCGGGTCTCCGATTTGCACGGGGGCTCTTAGAACACCAGCCCGCCTCTCTGGTCCCCCTTACCCCCAAGCCCAGCACACTCCGCGGCCTAGCTCTGGGGTCCTTAAATATCGGTCTCCCGTAGGTTGCTGTAGTCGGCCAATTCGTAGGCCTGGCAGGTGGCGCCCTCGGCCACCTCGTGTGGGACGCCTAGGGACACAGCCTCCACCTCTGAGCGCTGGGCGCACGCTGCCTCTGCGCGCTGCGCGCCCCCGGCGCGGATCTTGTGCGACAGGCTGGAGACTTTGGCGCGCAGCTGGGTCGTGGGTCTCCGGAACGGCCCCAGCAGCCTCCACTCGCGGAAGGCGCTGGGTGGCTTTCGACGGCTGGCGACCGGAGCCTGCATCTCGGGCGTGCCTGGGGGTTCGGGGTCGGGGTCGGGGAGCGCGGTGAGGGCCAGCGGCGCTCCGGGGGGCGCGTCGCCCGAACTCGGGGCGCAGTCCTGGCGCAGGCCGCTGGTGGAGGCCCGCCAGTGGTGGCCGTAGACACGCCAGAGAGGGCGGCGGCGCCGGCGACGACGGCACTGGCAGCGCAGGAGACGGAGGAAGGCGCGCTTGAACTCGCGGCTGGAACAGGGGTAGATGAGCGGGTTCACGCAGCTGTTGAAGTAGCCGAGCCAGAAGATGACCTTGAAGACGCCCTCCGATGGCTTCAGCTGCGGGAACAAGGAGCCTGTAGGGAGCAGAGACCGATACTATTTAGCTGCTTGGGGAGGGGGAGGCCAGGCGGCTCTGGGCGCAAAGGGGAGACCCTTCAGTAGCCTTGGCTGAGTCATTGACTAGGAGTTCTCAAGGGATCCGTGCTGTAAATCAGGAGGTCCATGAACTTGGATAGAGAAAAATAATAATTGTTTTCACTCACCTCTACCTGATATTGAGGATTACCTTCAATGAATGTAGGCAACAAACCAGAGTAGAGTTAGACAAAACCACGTGCAATTGCTGTTTTTGTAGCTCAAAACCGGTGCAATATTGGCAGTTTCGTATTATGAGACAAAGTAGCAAACATAGCCATGTTTGCTCATTTCTGCGTGCCAGCATAATTTCACAAAGTCCCCGACTCTGTGACAAAGTACGGCTCTCTGGAAAGATGCTTTGAAGATAAAATAGGATAGAACATACGCCCCCGCCTCCCTGCCACATCTCCTGTCTGAGTCACTGTTTTCCTGAAATGATAAATGACCCTAGTCCTTGCCTCTTCCTACACAGAAGATAACGTCTGACCAGGCTAGTAATTATGCTGCTATGAACAGATATACTCTTACACCCAAAACTCAATATAATTCTGCTTTAATAGAATTGCTGAGCAAGTTCAATAAAATTTTGTACATATGGAACCCGCGCTACCTATATATAAACAGTAGATTAAACTACTGTGCTGGAGCAGTCTAATATAACCTCTCTGAAGGGCTGGGCTACAGGGCTTAGTCTATAGTCCTCAATAAGACTTCTAAATAAAACTAATGTTAATTTTTTAAAAGCTTTTTTTTCTTTAATTGATAATATGATTCAAACGAACATTAGCCGTCCCCACGGATATTTTCCTATCACTTTCAGTTGTTGCAGATGTTTTGAAATATTCTCTATGCTCCTCACTTTTGGGAAATGACAGTCATTAGAATGCACCACTAGATCTTGTTTTTTTTTTTTTAGACCCACAGAGTCAATTTATTTTTGATAAAGGTACAAAGATAATTCAATAGAGAAAGGGTAGTCTTTTCATTTGTCTTTTCAGCAAATGGTCCTAGAACAATTGAACTAGATCTTGTTATGTAATACCTTAATGCAGAAGCATATTCATTAGCAAGTCACGCATTTCCTGTAAAAATATTTTGATGGCTTTTCCAATAAAATCAGTTTCATTTGTAATCTTTTGTATTTTGTTTTATGCTTTTGAAAGCGTGACTCTGAGAAGGGACCCATACGCTTCCCCAGGTGCCTAAGGAGTCTGTAACAAAAAGGGGTAAGGACCCTCGAATTAAATGTTGGCCAAGGTTTGCTCCCTGCCAGGTGCTGTGCTGGGCTCACACACACGAGGAGGCATTACACATGGCCCTTATTTCCCAGCTAGAATGTGAATAAATATCTTTGAGATGCAGGTGGGGTGATGATGGTGGTGCTCAGTGTAGACAGTCCCTGACTTTGATGGTTCGACTTAATTTTTTGACTTTACAATGGTGCAAAAGTGATACGCGTTCAGTAGAAACCATACTTCAAGTACCCAAAGAACCATCCTGTTTTTCACTTTCAATATAGTAGTTAATAAATTACATGAGATATGCAACACTTTATTATAAAATAGGCCTTGTGCTAGATGATTTTACCCAACTGTAGGTGAATGTAAGTGTTCTGAGCATGTTTAAGGTAGACCAGGGTAAGCTATGATGTTCAGTAGGTTATATGTATTAAATGCATTTTGACCTATGATATTTTCAATTTACAACAGGTTTAACAGGACATAATTCCCACTGTAGCTCCCCACTGCAGCTGTGTGTGCATGTAGGGTGGCAGCCACAGGCTCAGAGACAGCTTAGGGGGGTCAGCCAGGATGAGGCAGGGCAGAGGGTATTACAGGTGGGAAGGACAGGCGGGCAAGAAAATACCAAGTTTGGGTCCTGGGAATATCCTATAGGATAAACTCAGAAAATCTCTTTTGGGACAAATAGTGAAGGGGCTTACATGCTGTGAAGTTCAGCTTTTATTTTGTGGATGCTTAGGGGCCGCGAATATTTTTAAGCAGGTGAGAGATAGAGCCTGGAATTAAGCCTCCATAAACACACTGCTCATGGGCTGTTGAAATGCAGGGCAATGGGGCTGTTCCAGTGGAAGTGGTCAGGAAAGGCTTCTGGGATGGCTTTGAAAAAGGAGAGTGCCAGGGAGGATGGGGCAGGGGCACTAGGATCTGAGCTGTGCCAGGAAGACCCTCCTTTCCACAAACATCTCCCCTGACATCCATACCATGGACCCAGAAAAGGTCATTTTTCCAGAAAGGCACATGACCAAATGCAAAGGCACAATCCAGGCAGCAGAGGCCACTCTTTCAACCTCACTCACCCTCAGCAGCAGTAGGGGCAAGAAAGCAGGGGGCCAGGGGTGTTCCATCCTGGATAGAGGCTGCAGGTGCCTGTGAGACCAAGCGGGCCAGGGGTGTTCCATCCTGGATAGAGGCTGCAGGTGCCTGTGAGACCAAGCGGGCCAGGGGTGTTCCATCCTGGATAGAGGCTGCAGGTGCCTGTGAGACCAAGCAGGCCAGGGGTAGGGGGGGGTCCTTAACAAATTATGGGACCTTCTCTCTCTTCCTCTTGCCTTCAAAAAAAAAAGAGCAGGGATCCCTACTGAGGAGGCAGAGGCACCATTCCCCTCTCTTTGACCTGGGGAATATCGGCTTTGCTTATCACCCCTCCTCCCACCATACAGAGACAGTTTCTGGTGCTAAGAGACACCGCAGGGGAAGAGGAGGGTCCCATAGCATCATATGGCACAGGCTTCTCAAACCTTGGTCATGTGGCCCTAAGCAGGTTATGTGGCCATCTAAGTTTTTTTTTTTTTTTTTTTTTTTAAATAGATGGAGTCTCGCTCTGTCACCCAGGCTGGAGTGCAATGGTGCGATCTCGGCTCACTGCAACCTCTTCCTCCTGGGTTCAAGCAATTCTCCTGCCTCAGCCTCCTGAGTAGCTGGGACTACAGGCACGCACCACCATGCCCAGCTAATTTTTGTATTTTTAGTAGAGACGGGGTTTCACCATGTTGATCAGGCTGGTCTCAACTCCTGACCTCGTGATCTGCCTGCCTCAGCCTCCCAAAGTGCTGGGATTACAAGCGTGAGCTACCGTGCCTGGCCCATCTAAGTCTTACTTTCCTTTTAATATTATTTTTCTAGAAGGAATTTTGTGAAGATTCATATATTTTAGGTCCCAGCACTTAGCAGGCTCTTAAAAAGTATTGGTAGCTATTACTTTTTTTTTTCTTTCTTTTTTTTTTTTTTTTGAGACAGGGTTTCTCTCCCATCACCCAGGCTGGACTTCAGTGGCACGCTCTTGGCTCACTACAACCTCCACCTCCTGGGCTCAAGTGATCCCCTTGCCTCCTGAGTAGCTGGGACTACAGGGGTGCACCATCATATTCGGCTACTTTTTGTATTTGTAGTAGTGTCTTGCCATGTTGGCCAGGCTGGTCTTGAACTACTGACCTCAAGTGATCCGCCTGCCTCAGCCTCCCAAAGTGCTGGGATTACAGGTGTGAGCCACCGTGCCTGGTTTATTAGTATCTATTACTTACCTCCATTTCTGTGGCTTTTGAGTGAAGAGAACTCACATCTGGGAAGGGACCCAGTTTCTAGCTCTGGAGAGTGGCCAGAAACAGCAGCTGAGACCTAGTGGGTTTTAGGGGCCACTGGCGCATTAGTCAGGATGTGTGAAAGAGATTATTTTCCCCGGGAGAGAGGTTGGGCCATCCCTGGAATGTGGGGGCCACTAGTGTTGACCTCAGCCTCCAGGAAAGTGGCCCTCAAGAACAGCATCGCTCAATGGCCGCGAACTAAGACAGAGTGCTGAAAATAGCCTTCTGACTCAAGCTACAATTCTTTTATATTTAGCCCAGGATGACAAATCAGTGGACTATGCTTTTCAGTGGTGAGCCTGAAGCTGGCCAAAGGGCATTGTTATTGCATGGTTTTTATTCAGACTGGTGGGCAACATGGCATATTGTAGTATGGCCAGGTCATGTTGTAAACATTAATATGGTAATTTATGCTCAACCAACCTGAAGTCTGCTGTGAGCTGGGAAGTCCTTACACGAGAAGGAGCTGTAATACAAACTCAGCCTTTCAGCCCCAAGGTTTTCCCACTGTATCCTGTTGAGGTTTTGTCTTACTTTGGGCTCTCCCAGAGCAGACTGACAAGAGTAGAAATACAAGTTTTTAATTTGGGAGGTAAATGAAACAGCTTGAGTGAGTGGGAAGAAGAATCAGGGAAAAGAAGGAAGCCAATAAAGTGTGTTATCAAGTTACGGATCACTGTGGGCAATGGGGGAGCTCTGGATGGCTATGAAGAGCACAAACCTCAGTGTTCTCACACCAGTAGAGTGAGGGAGGTGGGGTATTTATACGCCCATTCCCATCAGTCATTGTTTGGGCTGCTCCCTCTGGGTGTTAATTTTCCACACTTCCTTTCTGCCACATGAGTGTGCAGAGAAAGTCCCTGGGCAAAGAAATGCAGGCAAGTGCTCTAACAGAATTTGGCCCTCATGCACTAAAGCTCTGGGGGAGATGGGTGGGGAACCAGTGGCATCTGCCACAACTTTGTTTTATGTGTTCTCTGCCCACTGCATGCAGACATGTTGCCTGGAAATACAAACAATCTGTGCATTGGGCTCCAGATTCCGCAGGCAGCGGCTCTCAAGAGACTTCTCCTGTTCCGCTCACAGATGCCGGTTTGAATTTCACACCTGCCTCTGCCCACAGTGCTCCAATCCACCACCTACACCGCCCTGCACTTGCCCACTCTCTTGACTGCACCCCTCAGCATTCTCTCATGGGCCCACAGCCTCATGCAGGGATCTCTGGAAGTCAGAAAGACAACTGGGCATTTTCCTCTCCGTGGCATACCATGAGTGTGAAATGGGGAACTGCCCCAAGACCCCTGAGCATGGGCACTTGGCTCACAGGCCTTGTTCTTTTGTGGCTCCAATGTCTCTCTGCAGTCCTCTGTCTTCATGTGCAACAGCCAAGTGGCCAGGCTGACTCACTTTGCACTCTGGCCACAAGGGGCTCCCCAGTCTTGCCTCTGGGCTCTTGCACATGATTATCCTGGAATGCCCTTCCTCTATATCTGGTAGTGCTAGCTCCAGTGGCATCTCCTTCTGAAGTCTCTCTTACACCACTCGCTCCTGACCCAGCTGAGCTATTTTACTCTCCTCCCACCCGCAGCACATCACTCTCCCTTTTAAGTGCCTAAAGCACTATAGGTAACGATCAGTTTCCTGTCTATTTCACCTTTAAAGGCTAAGCTCTTCCTACCACTTGGCATCTAGTAGGTACCTGATACATTCTTGGACTCTTTTCTGTGTATCGCACCTTGCAGCTCATCCATCACCAACTCCTGTTGGCCCCTAAGTCCCCTCGACTTTCTTTGTATCACCTTCATGTTACTACCTTGGTCCAGGCTACCATCGTTGTCTACCTGCAGTGCCTTTCTTTCCTTCCTTCCCTCCTTCCTTCCTTCCTTCCCTCTCTCCCTCCCTCCCTCCCTCCTTCCTTCCTTCCTTCCTTCCTTCCTTCCTTCCTTCCTTCCTTCTTCTCTCTCTCTCTTTCTTCTCTTTCTTTCTTTTTTTTTGACATGGGGGTTTCACCATGTTGGCCAGGCTGGTCTTGAACTCCTGACCTCAGGTGATCCGCCTGCCTTGGCCTCCCAAAGTGCTGGGATTACAGGCGTGAGCCACTGCTCCTGGCCCCTGCAGTGCCTTTCTAAGCGGCCTTCCTGCTCCTGCCTTGTGCCCGCCCCCGGCTCCGAAGCTTGCTCTCTGTACACAGCTGGGGATCCTTTTAAAATATAAGCCTGAGCATTTCATTTCTTCACTTAAAATCCATTAGCCACTGAGTGCAACTTCCTGTCTTTTCTCTCTCTTCCTTATCTGTACTTTGACCTCCTGCCAGCTCCTTGGATTCCTCCTTCTCTGCTTAGCTGAGACTCCTACTCACCAGCACCTTAACTGTTCTCTTTTCCACCAACCCCCTCATCCTTCTGGATGTAGGGAGACTCATCCAGCCAGATCCTGACTCTGGAGCAATTTAGTCGCTCCTTGAACACGCTTGGGGTCTTTGACCTCAGCTCTATGTCCCATATTTCCAGTGATCTAGGCTCCTGTCCTCTGCCAGCTCTCTCCCTTTTCCTTTACCGGCTCTTTACTGCATCGCAGGTAGACAATGATGGAAGTGTTGATCAAGGTGGCATTAAGGAGGTAGTGCAAAGTTGGGGGGATTTGGCAGCCTAAAGGAGTTGGTAATGGATGAGGTGCAAGGTGTGATACAAAGAGTCCAAGAATGTATGAGGCACCTACTACGTGCCAAGCACGGTGTGAGGAGTTTAGCCTTAAATGGTGAAATAGAGAGGGAACATATAGTTACCTACAGTGTAACCTTTCCTATACCAAATCTTTACCCCTCTTTCCAAGCCTTGCAGCCTGCCCCTTCTTCTCCAGAGCAGTTGATCTTACCTCCTGTTTCACAGGGAAAGCAGAGGCCACAGAAACTAGGCACTCGCCCAGCCTTCTGCACCTCTCATCTTCTTTGGTAAGGAAGGGATCGCTCCTCCTACCCAAGGTTAGTGTCCCTACTTGTATGGTGGAGCCCTCGATCCTTAAGCCACCCACAAGCCTGCCTTGGTTACAGCTGCTGCCCCTTTGCTGGCTCCCTGGCCACCACCTTCTTCTCTCCACGTCTCCAGCCCTCACCTACAGTCTCCTTGTCCCCACCTGACCTCACTCTGCTCTGCTGCTTTGCCCCACATGTTCCACCCCTCCCAGGCCCTCAACCTGTAGACACTGCCCTCATCCTCCTGGGTGCCACTCATCTCATCTGTGGCTTCCCGGATGACAGTCTCTTGGTTTTTCCTACTCCTTGTCAGTTTCCTTGCTGCTCCTTCCTCACATCCTCACTGCTAAATGTAGGAGCGCCTCATTTAGTCTTGCAGTTTCCTGTCTTTGCATTCTCCTATCAGTGTCATCTAGGCTCATGGTGTTAAATATTGACTTTACAGCTCAGACCTCTCTCCTTAATTCCAGACTCATAGATCCAGCTGCCTCCTAGACATCTCCACTTGGGAGTCTAGTGGATCTCACACTTATCCTGTCCTCATGAAGCTTACATTTCACTGGGGAAGACAGGAAATAAACAGGATAAACAAGGAAAATGTAAAGGTATCAAAGAGTAAAGGTATACTAAGGAGAAAAAAATGAAGCAGGAAGGAAGATGGGGGCGAGTGTGCTTGTGATATGTGGCTAGGGGTGGTGGTATAAATTCTGGATAAGGTGGCCAGGAAAGTCCTGATGAGAATGTGACATTTGAGTAAAGAGCTGAATGAAGTGAGTGAATGAGGTGTGTGGAGATCTGGGGAGGAACATTCCAGCAGAGGAAACGGCAAGTGCAAAGGCCCTGAGGTGGCTCCGGTATGTTTGTAGAACGATGACGAGGTTGGTGTGGACAGAATGCAGTGATTGAGGGCAGAGAGGAAGGAGACGAGGTTGGAACTCAACCACCCACCCTCAATGCGCCCTCCCACCCTGTCTGAGACACCATCATCACTTGCCTTGATGAATCCAGCAGCCCCCTCACTGCTTGTGCCCCTGCCCCCTGAATCTTTTCTCACCCTGGCAGCTAGAAAGACTGAAAAGACTGGTCACGTCACTCCTCTGCTCAGAACCCTCCAACAGCTCCTCTGCCTCCTCCTAGCAAGAGCCTATGACCTACACAGCTCAACATGTCCCCCCAAATCTCTCCTCTCCTCTCCTTCCCTCGCCTACTCTGTTCCAGCCACATTGCCTTCCCTGTTGCTTTTTGGACATGCCAGATGCACACCCACCTTGGCCCTTTGCACTTTTTCCCCAGAATTTTCTTCCTCCAATATCCATGTGGCTCACACCCTCACCTTTGTGATGAGATCACACTGACTTCGTATTCACAATTGCAATATCCCCTAACCCTGTGCTCCCTGTCTGGCTCAGCTTGCTCTGTTATGCCTCATGGTACTTGTCACCTTCTGTCCTATTTGAGTCATGATGCATTTGTCTATCATCTATCTCCCTGCAATGAACATCCCTGGGGTGGGGCCAGGGTCTGTTTTGCTTGGTGCTGCATTCCCATTGCCAAGAAGACCTCACAGGCATATCAAGCACACAGCAGGTGCATAACACTTGCTGAGTTTGCTGAATGAATCCCTCCTCTGTATCCTACACATCCAACTGGTCACCACGTCCTGTGCGGTAGATGTCCTTTTTAGCAGGTCCCCTGCACTTCACTGTGTTTGTTAAGCCTTGGCTTGCTCTGTCATTTCATTTTGCTTAGGTGGCGGCAGCAGCCCCTGACAGCCCCTGGCCTCACAGCCCCTGGCCTCAACCCATATCCTCTCCACTCTGCACACAGCTGCTGGGAGACTTTTCCTTAAAACTTGGTTTCTCTCCTTTCCCTTCTGAAAACTGTCAGTGGCTTCCTGTGGCTCAGAGGAATCAATCGAAACATGGTGCTGCTCACAAGGAAACACAACGTTTCTAGGGCCAGTGCTGTCTTTGTCCTGCCTTCCTCCAAATTCAGCCACGTTAAGCCTCAAGCAGATCCTCCCACATAGCTGGGCTTCTTCTGCCTTTCTGCCAGGACTTGCTGCTCCCAGGAGCCTCCTCCCCCAGTCCCTGCAGCCCCAGGTCAGGTGTCTCCCCACCCAGCCTGGCTCAGCTGTCCTTTCCCGTGCAACTACAGGTTCATACAATTTGCTATTGCTCCATCTACTCTATGTGACTCTTGGTTTCTTGAAGGCAGGTATGGGACTCTTTCTTTCCTTCTTTGCTTTCTTTTCTCTTTCTCTTTCTTTCTTTTTCTTTCTTTCTTTCTTTCTTTCTTTCTCTCTCTCTCTCTCTCTTTTCTTTTCTTTTCTTTCTTTCTTTCTCTCTTTCTGTTTTTAGAGACTGGGTCTTGCTGTCACCCAGGTTGGAGTGCAGTGGTGCAATCATGGCTCACCGAACTCCTGGGCTCAAGTGAGCCTCTTGCCTCAGCCTCCCAATTAGTTGGGACTACAGGCATGTGCCACTACACCTGGCTAATTGTTATTATTATTATTATTATTATTATTATTTTTGTAAAGACAGGGTCTTGCTCTGTTTCCTAGGCTGGTCTTGAACCCCTGGCCTCAAATGATCCTCCTGCCTCAGCCTCCCAAAGTGCTGGGATTCCAGGAGTAAGATACCATGTCTGGCCTGAGAAATTTTCTAAAAGGCATGTTTTTGCACTGTCCAATATGTTTTTCTTTTTATCCCAGCCTCTAGCACAAGTGCCTGACTCGAACGAAGCAGGGACTCTGAAATATCTTGAATGAACAAGTAAATGGCACTTGAATAGGTGGCCTCTAATGTGCAGAGGAAGGAAAAGGGAGCTGACGCTTTCCGAGTGTTCAGTACCTTCTAGGCACCATGCTGGGCCTTTTATGTAGTTCTCGATGAATCCTCATGGCATCCCGCTTTGCAGAATGATTCTAGTTACCCAGAGAGCAAGTAGCCCTTAGGGTCAGGACATGCATCTGAGTTGGTCTAGTCCCAAAGCTCCTGGTCCTCTCCTGACATCACTTAAACAGAGAAACAGAACTCCCCTTGGGCTTCTAGGGGCGCTGGGTTCAGGAGGCACAGCCACTCCCTTTGTTCTTCCTGGCAGCTGCCCCACCAGCAGTGAGCCCATCCCACCTCTGGGTTTTCTTTTTCTTTTTTCTTTTTTTTGAGACAGAGTATCGCTCTCTTGCCCAGGCTGGAGTGCAATGGCGTGATCCTGGCTCACTGCAACCTCTGCCTCCCAGGTTCAAGCAATTCTCCTGCCTCAGCCTCCCAAGTAGCTGGGAATACAGGCGCCCACAACCACGCCTGGCTAATTTTCTGTATTTTTAGTAGAGACGGGGCTTCGCCATGTTGGCCAGGTTGGTCTTAAACTCCTGACCTCAGGTGATCCACCCGCCTCGGCTTCCTAAAATGCTGGGATTACAGGCATTCGCCACTGCGCCCGGCAGCCTCTGGGTTTTCACAAGGCTGGTCTGGCGAGGAGGCTAGTCCTCCTCCTCTCTCCATAGGGGGCATTTCCCCTGGAGCTCAGCCTCAACTCAGCCTAGAACCTTCTCCAAGGGTGTTCCTGTGATTGCCTGCTCCACTGGGGTTTGAGGGGTGATAGCGGCTTCTGGAGTGTGCGTGCTCGGAGCATGCTTCATTCTGCTTACACCAGGCCGTGTGGCATTTGCTGGCCTGTATGTCCTCAAGGGCGCCTTGCAGGGCATGCCACATCAGGTTCAGCTCCACGTCCATCCATCCAGACTGCTCAGAAGGGCTGGGGTGGGGCTTGCTAGCTGGAGAGAGTATCAGAATGACCCCAAACTCCTGGGAGAAACCCTAAAGAGCTGCTTGGCCATCTCTTTCAACTCCTTCAAGTCTTTGCTCACAAAGTCCCTTTCAGGCTTGAAGTCAGATGATGTTGGTGCCCTGCCCAGGGGTCCCCAGGTGCTGTGTTGGCAGTCAGAGGCTAGCTGTTGCCCCTTCTCTGGACAACTGCCCTCAGTCAATGGGAGCTGCTTCAACTGGGTCCATGACACCTGCTTCCCAAGGGGACAGCCTGCAGCCAATGACAGACTGATGTGGTGATAGAGAAGGCCGGCCCCCTTGCCTCAGCACAGTCCAGTTCTGCCTTTCTTGCCCCAGGGATCCCTGTGGGGTCGGGCTAAGGCCAAGCTTTGCCTCAACCACACCCTGGCTTTAGCTCTTCCCCTCTGGCTTCCCGCCCTCCCTCACAGGTGTCTCCTGAAATTCCTCTTTCAAAAAATTCCTAACTGGGCACAGTGATGCATGTCTGCCGTCCTAGCTACTTGGGAGGCTGAGGCGAGAGGACTGCTTAAGCCCAGGAGTTCAAACCCAGCCTGGGCAATTTAGGGAAACCCTGACTCTAAAAAATAAAATAAAATATTTATTTTTAAAAAAATCATCCAGGCTGGGTGTGGTGGCTCACGCATATAAATCCCAGCACTTTGGGAAGCCGAAGTAGGTGAATCTCTTGAGCCCAGGAGTTCCAGACTAGCCTGGGTAACATAGTAAAACTCCATCTCTATAAAAAATATAAAAATTAGCCAGGTGTGGTGGTGCACACCTGTAGCCCCAGCTACTTGGGAGACTGAGGTGGGAGGATCACTTGAACGTGGGAGGTTGAGGCTGCAATGAGCTATGATTGCATCACTGCACTCTAGTCTGGGCAACAGAGGTGGGTACATGCAGCCACTTGCATGGTGGCTGCATGTACCTGCCTTTTTTTTGAGACCCTGTCTCAACAAGAGAACAGATCACCTAGCACCATGAGATCTGTTAGAAAAAAAAATCCTTCAAGAAGAACCCCTATCTCAAACGCTGCTTCTAGGGAACCCGACCCAAGACATTCTTTGTCAGTGCAGTGTCACGTCTTCAAGTGCTTTTCGTGGTCCCCAAAACCTTGGGACCAGGGATTAGCCCTTAGTGGCCATCATCACTCTTCTGCCCCCTGCTGGGAAAGGTGGGGCCTGAGTGTGCACGTTTGTGTTCATTTCTCCCCATTCAACAGGAGGCTTGCAGTGGGGTGGGGGGGTGAGTGTGGCTGCATGAACCCACCTCTGAGGAGACCCAGTAAGGACGCAGGGAGGAGATGACCAAAAACAGAACTCCTGCCCGCTCCTCTCTGTTTCTTGTTCTTGTTCTCCCATGTGCTGAGTCGCCATCCAGCTGGCTGGGCTGCTCCAGCCTGCCTTCCCCATTCCCTGTATTGGGGTGCCCGTGTCAGGAGTCTAACCTAACGTTTGGGGGACTGGGCATCCTCTGGTCAGAAGAGGTGAGGCCTCTCCTGTGTCAGCAAGAAAAGCCACTCTCTGGCTTGTTGGCTGGGCCAGCCTGGCCCACATATTGTTGGGGAAACTGAAGCAGGGGGTTTGTTTACAGCCCAGATTATCATAAGCCAGTCCATTTTCCTAAGGAACAGGAATGGCCAGGCCTGCAGGAGCTGCTGGGACGCTGCTAAGGCAGGGAGGGACATGGCTGGAGCTGAGCAACTGACTGGCCAAGCCTTGCTGAGGACAGACGGCGCTGAAGTCAAGGGGCGGACTGTGTGATTAATAGCACTCTTTTGGCATCACCAGAAGGAACTTGTTCTTGGCAGATTGTCAGAATTCACAGCCAGCCTTGCTCATAACTTGTAGATGACCATGAAATATCAGGCTGCACCCCAGCCTCCCCCATCTTCCTACCCTGTCCTCCACTGGGACTTTTCTATCCATAGTAAGCCATTCCCCTGTCCACAGAGATACACAGGAGTAAAAATACCCCATCCTTCTAGATATTCAGTCTCCTCCCACCCTGCCAGCAGGGCTAGGAGAGAAGGAATTCCCAGCCCCAGACTCCCTTCCTCTCCCCCAGTTTGCTCAGCTGCTCACGCAACGGCCCTAACCTTGGAGCTCAGTAGCAGCCTTCCCCAGGAGAGGCTGGGACCTCTGCCCCTCACAGGCCTCTTCGCTACATTATAAAGGGTCAGCGAGCCTCTCTAATACAGTACACTTGAGCCAAGACCTGAAGACCCTGTGAGGGAGTGAGCCATGCATGTATTTGAGGAAAGAAAATTCCAGGCAGAGGGAAGAGCATGTGCAAAGGCCCTGAGGCAGCAGGGTACCTGACAAGTTGGAGAGACACCCGGGAAGTTAGGACCGCCAAAGTGGAGAAGGGGAGGAGGAGAGTGGTAAGAGATAAGGCCATTTTGAAGGGGACACAGTCATGGAAGCCTGTCAGGAAGAGGTGACCTGGATATGGTCCAGATCTCAAATGGATTGTGAAGACTCGAAGGGGTGAGTCGAGGGCACCGTGGGCCTGCTATACCAAGCCGAGCCTCTCACATTCCTTGCATCACCAATTTTCTGTGGTGAGAGGTAACTGACAGGGTCCTTTCACTTGAGATGCGCCGGGTGTAGGTCAGAAGTCCTTCTGTGCCCTCGTGTTTGCTTCAGGATCCTTGAACTACCTGGGGCTGGCCCCAGACTCCCTTCTGTAGCTGAGGGGCAGGTGAAGGGAGGGCAGCTCCTAGAGCAACGGAGGCTGCCTGGTGGAGCCCAAGTTCAGGGAGATGAGCCATAGGCCTGTCCCGCATCCTCTTGCATCCTCTAGGTCTCCACCAGGCCCCACCCATTTCTCTTTGACTCTTTTTTTCCCTCCTCTTCTCCCTTCTCTCTTCCCACATTCCCTCTTCCTCCCCCTTCTTTCTCCTCTTTGTTGTCACTTCTTAACTCACTTATTTCCTGATTTGTGGTCTTGGAATGGCCACACCCCAAGCTCTGAGTGACCACGGCTGCAGTTCTGCCCCACGGCCAGGCTGGCCCCTGATCCAAGCATGAGCCTCTCGGCTCTGGGGCCACACTGACAAATGGCTCCTGGGTGTGAGCAGAGCAGCACTAATACCCGGGGAGAGAAGGTTCCCAGGCAGTGACCATGCTGTCCGGGAGTCCCAGCACTGAGCCGCCTGGGCTTTGCCCACTGGCCTCCACACTGGCTTTCAGAGACTCAAGACCCTGTTCTCCTAGGTGACCACTTGCAAAGTGAGGGAAGTCCTACCCTCCAGCGTGCTCAGGGTGCACGGTGGGGCTGGGGGGTGCACGGCAGGCCTGGGCTCAGGCGGGGGCAGAGATGGGCTTAGGGACTCAGAGACTTCCTCAGGGACTCTGGGGGTCTGCCAGGGTCTGGGAGAGGATCAAGCCATGCAGGAAGGGGCCATGTCCCATGGCAGTCCTCAAGATCCCCTCTTGGCCGGTATCCAAGACATGGAAGTGAGCCTGGGGGATGTGTGTAGGGGCTGAGGGCTTCGGTGGGATGGAAAGCTGAAAACATGGCTTCCAACTATGGCCCTTAACCCTGGCCCCAGGCCGACCTCTGACCCAGGCAAGAAATAACATGGACTCTGGGACCAAAGTCGTTGGGTTCCAATGTCGGCTCTGACACTTATAAACTGGGGGGACTTTGGTCATATTACTCAACCTCTCTGGTGCCTCAGTTTTCTCCTCTGTAAATGGGGCTGCTAATAGCATCTACCTCATAGGACTGTTAGGGGGATAAAATGATTTGAACAGCACCTGGCACACAGGATATATGGGTTTGTGATTAATTAGTTAATTAAGGTGGGAGAGTGGGAATGGGAAAACAGAACAGACTGAGGGATGTTTGGGAGGTTGGAGTGTCTGAGTGGGGCATGAGGAGGAACTGAGACTGATGCTCAGGTTCCTGGCTTGGACTCCAGAGGACAGACAGAGATGCCACTTGCCAAGATGAAGAATTTGGGGGAAGTGGCAGGCTCGAGGGCAGAAGCAGAAAGGTGGGCCTAGGAGAGGACCGAGCCCCTGTGGCTGGGGCGTGGAAGTGTGGTAGATGGAATAATGCCCCCAAGATGTCCAGACCTGTGAATGTCACCTGCACAGGGGTCCTGAGATGGGCAGATTGCTCTGGAGAATCCAGGTGGGCACAAAGTAATGACAAGACTCCTCAGACAGGAAGGAGGGAGGCAGGAGGCTCAGAGCCAGAGAGGGAGACGTGGCAACAGAAGCGGCAGTCGGACCATTCTGCGGATAGATGGAGGCAGGGCCATGAGCCAAGACATCCAGTGGCCTCTAGAAGGTGGAAGGGGCCGGGGAGAGAATTCTCCCTGAGCCTCCAGAGGAAATGCGGCTTGCTGAGGCTTGGATGTTAGGACTTCTGGCCTTCAGAACTGGGAGGTAATATATTCTTTGAAGTCACTCAGTTTATGGTAATTTGTTATAGCAGGAACAGGAAATGAATACAGGCTGTCTGAGGGGCTGCTGGGACCTTAGCAGCTGGACTTGGGGCTGGAGCTGAAGAGGGTTTGTCTGGAAATGTGGATCTGAAGGGGAGAGGGGTCTCCGAGGAAGGCTGAGAAGGAGCAGCCAGAGGACCAGGAGGGAGATGGGAGAGAGATATTAAGGGTCATAAGAAGAAAGGGGAGAGGGACAAACTGACATATAGGAGTGAATGAAAGGACTTAAAATTTTGAGACCCCTAGCTAGATGTGGTCTCAGCTACTGGGGAGGCTGAGATGTGGGGAATTGCTTGAGCCCAGGAGTTGGAGGCTGCAGTGAGCTGTGATCACACGACTGCACCCCAGCCTGGGCAACAGAGTAAGACCCTGTCTCTTTCTTTAAAAACAATTAAAACAAAATTTTCACTCCATTATTCTGCTCTGAGAGACTCCATCTCTTGAAAAAAAAAAAAAAAGAAAGAAAAAGAGCCCTCTGAATGTGAGGATCTGGCAGCCTCCGGTGACAGTGCCAAGGCAGATCCAGGGAAGTGTGTGCCCTTAGCCCTGGGGCAGGTGTGAGAATGGCAGGAGCTACCCTGAGTAGGGCTGATGCATGTGGCAGGTGGGAAAAGGTGTCCTAATCAAGACTAATGTCAGGATTTTTTTTTTTTTTTTTTTGAGATGGAGTCTTGCTGTGTCACCCAGGTTGGAGTGCAATGGCTCCATCTCGGCTCACTGCACTGCAACCTCTGCCTCCCAGGTTCAAGCGATTCTCCTGCCTCAGCCTCCCAAATAGCTGGGACTACAGGCACATGCCACCATTCCTGGCTAATTTTTGTATTTATTTATTTATTTATTTATTTAGTAGAGACGGGGTTTCACCATGTTGGCTAGGCTGGTCTCGAAATCCTGACCCAAGCCACCGTGCCCAGCCTGAGAGGATATTCTTTTAAGAGTTAAGAGGGTCGGCTGGGTGCAGTGGCTCAAACCTGTAATCCCAGCACTTTGGGAGGCCGAGGCGGGCGGATCACTTGAGGTCAGGAGTTTGAGACCAGCCTGGCCAACATGGTGAAACCCCCCCCGTCTCTACTAAAAATAAAAAAAATTAGCCGGGCGTGGTGGTGGGTGCCTGTAGTCCCAGCTACTTGGGAGGCTGAGGTAGGAGAATCACTTGAACCTGGGAGGCAGAGGTTGCAGTGAGCGGAGATCATGCCACTGCACTCCAACCTGGGTGACAGAGCAAGACCCTGTCTCAAAAAATAAAAAACAAATAAAATAAAATAAAGCAGCTACTAATCTTTAAAAAAAAGAGTTAAGAGGGTAAGTAGCAAAGAATATGCTTACAAGTAGGTGAAAGGGAGGAAAAGACTACAGTGCTAAGTGGGGGAAGGCTGAGGACAAAAGGGTCCATGGGATTGAGGGAGAATCTTTAAGAAAGCTCTGGACATGTCGATGTGCTATATGTGTGGACAGAAGAGAGGTAGGAGACAAAGAGGGTTGAGGAGTAACTGAAAGAGTAAGGCTCCTTAGAAAGGAAAAAGGGTTGAGAGAGAGTCAGAGCTTACAGAGGATCTGCAGGACTTATGGGGAGACCCTGAGGGCTGCCTCGAGGCAGCAGCCTGACTATGGAAAGTGTGACTTTTCTACAGCAAGTGCTCAGCTAGACCCTGGTTTGCACTAGCTTGCTACAATTTCAGAAATGCTGTGAGCTCTCTTTGGAATATTTACACCATGAAAATAGGCAGATGCTATAAATCAGCCTCCATCCCAGAGCCAATTGTGTAACATTTACCAGGACATCATAGGGAGGAATGGTCTAATTCAGGATCTGGGGCTCACAGAAATAGGAGGAAGTGAGGGAATTAAAGACGGCAAGAGAGGATGAAGCAACAGATCATCCTCTGGGACTAGCTGACTAAGGAAGGGATGTGTAATCGACTGGGAGACAAGGTGAGGGCAGGGAGGTGAAGGCTTGGTCAAGGCTGGGGTTGATGAGCAGGTGTAATGGGAACCAAGCAGGGAGGACAGGAGCAGATGGACTCAGGAGGAAGAGCTTCACTGAGGATTCTGGGGGAGGGAGAGTAAAATGGGCACATGGACCAGGGCATAGGCCTTGGAGGAGGGGAGGAGGGGAAGGTCATTGTAGTCTCAAGGCCAGAGTGTCATCATGGGTCAGCCTCAGTACAGTGGAGTCACACTGATGACCAGGGTAGGGGTGGGAGTGAGGAAAAAACAGTGTGATTCTGATGCCCAGATCTTTAATGAATGGAGCAGGGTGATCAACAGTTCCTCAGATGTTTGGGACAAACATATCAGCAGGAGCTGGGCAGAGGACAAGATCTTCAGGGGAGGGGAAGGAGGAATATATGTCCAAGGACAGAAGTCCCCATCAGTGTTGTGTTTTTCTTCTACTGAAAATAAAATGTACTTCCTAGATCTGTCCATTGAATCAGTGACCAACTCAGTATCAATGAACAGCTCAGTCATCTTCCATTGAAACAGACTAGGGCTCTTTAGGGAAATGGCTAATTCCAGGTCTAGGGCAGAAAAAATGCAAGCTGAGCCTGAAGCATCTTATCAGATCAGAAAGCAAAGAAGAGCTCAAGATGCTCCAGGTTCTGCCAAAGATCTCAGAAGCCAACTGGAAGGAGTACCCACTGGCCAAGCCCAAAACAATGATGTCTGTGATGTGTTGGAACAGCAAGGATGTCTAAAAATAATGACATTACCATGGTACTCAAACAGCCTCAGTGGTCACGTCTGGAAAGAATGCTAGAGAACTGACTCTTCCTCTGATAAATAAAGAGGAATATTGAACATCTTCCCTGCCTTTGCTGTACAGATTCTATTTAACCAAACAGCTAGTGGTGAAATCATTTTAGAATGCTAGTGAATAAATGAAGGAGGTATGATAGGATTAGAATATCCCCACTTCAAGCCCCAGTGATATAATGGGTCCAGGCCATGGTCAATGGCTGCCAAAACCAGCAGGTGAAAGGCCGATGGGTCACTTTGTAATGGACAGAGCAGGCTGACAGCACATGAATTCTGGTCAATCTTGACACCACAGAAAAGAAGAATTCTTTCCAGGCCAAATCTGCACCCAGGAAGTACAGGGAACAGAGGGACACATTAAATGGCACTGTGGAGATGCAAACTCCAAACTACAGGATACACCTGGGGACAATCTGGTGTCTTCACTAAATAAATGGAAAGAAAAAAAAGCAGTGGAGGCTTACCGAGTAAAGAAACCTAATAGGCAAATCGACCATATGCAACGTGTGCTCCTTCTGTGGATTCTGCTTCAAACAAACCAACCAAAAATTTACGAGGCAGCCAGCAACATTTCAACACTAAGTAGATATTTGATGATATTAAATGATTTTATGTGTTATAATGGATTGTGGGCTTTTTTTTTTTTTTTTTACAGTTATTATCTTCTAGAACTATATATTGAAGGATTTACAGATGAAGGGATACTGTATCTGGATGTTCTTCAAAATAATCTACAGTGGCCGGGTGCAGTGGTTCATGCCTGTAATCCCAGCACTTTGGGAGGCCGAGGTGGGTGGATCACCTGAGGTCAGGAGTTTGATATCAGCCTGACCAACATGGTGAAACCCCGTCTCTACTAAAAATACAAAAATTAGCTGGGCATGGTGGTGCACACCTATAATCCCAGCTTCTTGGGAGGTTGAGGCACGAGAATCACTTGAACCCGGGAGGTGGAGGTTGCGGTAAGCTGAGATTGCGCCACTGCACTCCAGACTGGGAGACAGAGAGACTCCATCTCAAAAAACAAACAAACAAAAATCCAAAAGAATCTACAGTGATGGGACAGTGGGTGAGGATGGAAAGAATCTAGGTTAGCTTTGGGGTGAAGCTGGGTCACAGGTACACAGGGGTTCATTATACTAACAGGGTTCTCTCTATCAATGTATGTGTTTGAAACTTTCCATGTTAAAAACATGAAAAAAACCCAACCCTAGCTCATTGCTTATTCATAGTAATTACTCAATAAATATTAACTGTCCTGTTAAAGATTTTTTTTTTAGGCCACAAAAATGGGGACTCACCCCCAACCCACAACAAGTAAAGAGAGTTGACTTTAAATAGAGGGCTGTTATGCTAAGCGAAATAAGCCAGTCACAGAAGGAGAAATACTGCATGATTCCACTTACATGGGGGTCTCTAAAATACTCAAATGCGTAGACTCAAAGAGTGGGATGGTGGTTTCCAGGGAGAAAGGGCGCTAGGAAATTGGGAATTGCTAATCAATGGGCATAAAGTTTCAGTTTGGCAAGATAGATGAGTTCTAGGGGTCTGATGTGCAACAGTATCACATGATATGTATCCATAGTTAATGATATGTAGTTAATGATATGATATTTACACTTAAAAGTGTGTTAAGAGGGTAGAGCTCATGCTATATGCTCTTGCCACAATAAAAGAAAATTAAAATAATAAATAAATGGAGGGCTGTGCTTTGCCACCCAGACCCTTGGTGTGGCAGGATGGGAATAGAACATGGGTTCTACCGTTTCCTTCTTCTGCACACATTTACTGAGCACCTATTATGTTCCAGGTGCCACAAAGCACAGGTAGGAGATGTAATGCCAGCCCTTTCTTCAGGCTTTTGGGCCGGGAGACAATGATGCCATTACTGAAGACCTAGCACAAAGCATCCCTTGCCTCTCCCCTTCATCCACAGACCCCTGCACAACCTCAGGCAGCCTGTGGAGATGAGTCCTTTAGCACCTGGCCGACTCTCAGACATATGCATAATCCACTCTCCGCACGGGGCCACCAAAGTATGCCTTCCAGCCTGGACACCAATTACTAAGCAGGGCTCACAGCCTCCCCCCTGCCTCCTCCTGCCTTCTCTCTCACTGTAACAAAGGCATAACATGTAGACAGTCAAATTTAGAAAGCGTGTGTATCTGAAGCACACAGCACAGCCTGATGGCTCTGCATATGCATGCACCAATGTCATCACTACCCAGGTCAAGGTATGGAACTGTCCCAGCCCTTCAGAAAGTTTTCTAGCATTCTCTTCCAGTTAGTACACTCACTGCACACACACAGATGGGTAACCGCTATCCTGGATTTTATCACCATTGATAAGTTTCCCCTGTTTTTGAACTTCATCTACACAGAATCAAAAGGTGTGTACACCTTGAGTTTCAGACCTGGCTTATTTTGCGCAGTATAACATCCATGAAATTCATCCATGTGTGCATCAGTAGTTTGCTATTTTTCCTTGTACCGTGGTCCAGTCTATGGATACATGGTTTATTTATCCATTCTCCTGCAGATGGCATCTGGCCTCATCTCTTGACCCCTCTTCTCATAGGCTACACGTTTTACGTCTCCCAAACCACAGAGCAACCCAGCAATACTGCTACTCCTGTGCCTACGTGTGTGTAGTTCCCTTTGCCCTCACACTTCATGATGCATATCTGAATATTGACAGTTACAGTGCATCGTGATAAAAGTACATGCAGAGTGTTTCAGAAGCACATGGGACATCTAAGTCTGGGGGTGGTCAGCGACACAGGCACTATCACAGAGCACAGACTCACAAGATAGGAGAGAGGCTCAGGTGTGGCTCACAGATGGCTGGAGTGGGACATTGGCTGGGCTGTCCTGGGACTTCTGATATCAGAGCCTCTGCCCAGCTTGTATGCCTTGAGGTGCATTTGAGGGGGGCCCTGGGCTCTGAGTCTCCGGGCTGCTTTGAGTGGATGGCATTTGGAAGGTGGAGGTCAGTGATGCTCGGTGATCTGCCCAACAAGAGAGAGCTGGGATCGAAAGCCTGGGAGCTGTGAGTGGTCACTAGGAGTGACAGGGGTGGGGCTGTTGTGTGTGTGTGTGTGTTTGTGTGTGTATGTAGGTCTCGGCAGACAGTCCACCTCTGGGCGTGGCTGGGGGACACTTACCAGGCAGCCCAAACCCAAACGCAGTGAGATGCTGCCGCCATGAAAACACGCAGGAGGGACACGGGCCTCTGGAGGCTCCCGGGAGAGGAGGAAGCTTCTCTGCAGTTGGGTGCTTGCCTGGGGCAGGGTTTCCCCAGCCCCTCCGGTACCCCTCACACCCGCAGGGAGGATGATCTGCATTCTACACAATTGGCCTAGACCTCTAGGGTCAGGGGATTCTTGCACGAAGCTTCTCAGCGCAGAGGCTTCAGAGGCTTTTATCAGGGACTTTTCCAACCTACCCAACTGTCCCAACGACGCAGCCCCGCCGCAGCCACGCCCCCTCTCTCTGGGTCCTCTCTGGAAGTCCGCAGGCAGCAGGCTCTCACTGCGGCCCCTCCCACACTCACTCTACAAGTCTGGGCTCCTCGGGGCATCCGGCTGAAGGATCCCGATGAGGAGGGCAGATTTAGACAATTCCCTGTGATTTTCCGTGGCACCCAGCCCGCACCAGCTTGCTGCGGTGAGGGTAGGGGATTGTACCTGGCATGGGCGGGGCTGCCAAGAGCACTTCCTTCACAGGCCCCAGGGATTGGTGTCACTACGTTCTATCTCCAAAGTGGAGCATCTCTGACTGAAAGGGGAGCACTACTAGCTATCCCACCGGTCACAGGCAAGGAACGGGACTGTCCTGGGTCACTATGCACGGAGCAGGCAGCTCAACTGGGCATCACCACGGAACGTGGGCAGGAGGGTGCCCTCCCCTCTCTCTCGGTGAGGGGCGTTCTACACGCACCTCCGCACCTCTGGCACCAGCAGCTTCCTGGGGGTCCCAGAGGAGCTGGTGCTGCCCTCCCCAGCCTTGCTCCCTGAAATCGCAGCATCGGGGCACTTGCGGTCTAATGAGCTGGTTGACCCTCTGCCTGCCTTGGGGACATGCTCTGCAGTTGTTCCTCACAGGGAAAGCGGGGCAGCTGGAAGTGTAGGGGATGATCCCCAGCTACTCTCTGGGATTCTCTGGATTTTAGGTGCCCACATCTGTGTCCCAGTGTCTCCCAGCCAGTGACTTGGGTCCTTAGATGCCCCCACAGTTCAGGACAGCCCTCCTGTGGTGCTGCCCCTCTGGCCTGACCACAGCATTCCAGGTTTACAGGTGACAGCCCATGGCTCACAGTGCCAATGTTCCTCTGGAACTCCGGGCCCTTCCCTGAGACTCTTGATGCCCTCCAGGCCGCTGTGGCTGCTGCTACCACCTGGCTTTGTGTGCGGAAGTGTGAGTGAGGGCACCCCAGGTCTGCTGTGGCCCTACTGGGTGCCTTTACTTCCAGGGCCTATGTGGGCCCATTCCTTGCTGGCATATACATTGTTTCTCAATCTCTCCGTCTCTGGTGCTCGTCACAGCTAGTGTGGTGACCAGGACCTGGGAGGAGGCAGGTGCCACCTCAACAGCCATCCTGCTCCTCCTGGCTGCCTCTTTTTCTGCCTCCTTTGGGTCTTTCAACGTCAATGCTCCCCAAAGCTCTGTCCTGAGATCCTCTTTTCTCTCTCCTCCTCTTTCTGGGAGACTGCACTCCATGCTCCTGCAACCATCCCCATCTTTGATCCCTGCATCCAAGTTTCCAATGTTCTCTATCCCCTACCACACACCTGGTACCTCCACACCAACATATACCAGCCCCTGGGGGTCCACATTCCCCCCAAAAGTTGCTGCTCAGTGTTCCCTGTTCCTTCAAAGGTATCTCCCTCCTCCCAGGCCTGGGCCTCATGCTGGGGGTGTCAGGACCTCCTGGCCCCCTCTCCTTCCTGCACAGCCTCCAGACCCCTCCTGCTCCAAATGGGCTCTGCCCTCCCTCTCTGCTGCTTCTGCCCTCCAAGCCATACTGGGGCAGATCGGAATATTTTGTTTCCTTGTTTGGCCTCTGTCCTGTTTGCTCATCATTGCCAGATTCAACTCAATTCAGCTCCACCAGTGTCCCTGGGCTCTGCTCTGAGGCACTCGGAAAGGTGCCCTGAGAAGCCTGGTGCAGCACAGACCATTAGGAAGGAGGATTTAGGGCCTCCTCCACCCCCCAATTCCCTACACCACATGTGAGGCGCAGCAGAAATGTAAGGATTGAGAAAGAGCTGTGCGTGCCAGCAAGGAGCAAAGGTCATGGAAATTAAGGGATGACTTCCTGGAAGAGGGAGTCACGTGACGTGGACCTCAAAGAAAGCAGTGGCCTTTTGCAGTGTTGATTGGAACAAGGAAGAGTTAGAAAAACCTAACATTCAGCAGGATCAACGCACTGTGGAATACTCTCAAATGTACTGCTGTGAAAATGGCCCAGCATGGATAAATCTCAGCCACATAATGTTGGGTGAAATGGCAAATTGAAGAACGGTGATACGCATGGCAAGGTGCCATTCATATAAATCTCAAAGACAAACAAAACAGTATATTATTATGGATACAGATGTTTGTAGTAAGAGTATGAACATCTGTATAAGAGTGATATACTCCAGATTTATCTCTGGCGAGGCAGGGAGAGAAAGAGGAAGGGACAGGAGGAGGGGATCTAGTTATGGCTTGTTCTATTTATTTGAAAAGAGAGAGGAAGGGGTCTGAGGCAAATATGGCAAAATGTTAACATCTGTTCAGTATAGGTGATTACAGGCATGTGGGTGCTTGTTTTATTGTTTTCTCCTTATTTGTGCATTAAGCTAAAATTTTAAAGGAAGTTAAAAGGAAAAAAAAACAGGGAGCTGGCATTCTACACAGGTTGGGCGTTCCCTACAGGGGCCCAGTGTGAACCGAGGGGCAGGGGTTGAATGAGGGCACCCAGGAGCCCAGCACAGCTGGGCAAGGCTGGAGCAGGGGCTGGGGCGATGGGCCTGGGGGATGGGCTTGGATGTCTAAAGGGGCGGGCACCAACTTTCTCTTCCCTGCTTACTTGCCTGCTTCTCCTAGTGTGTTGCTTAGGGTCCGTTGCTTGCCCCATCCCTGCAACAACCTTTGGCTGGATGATTTTCAAGGGTTACTTATTCATTCCTTACCCTATATTGAGTATCCACTACAAAAGCTACAGTTCCACGATGGCCCTATAGATAGGCATGATTACCATCACCCCATCTCTATTTTATAGATAAAAAAGCCAGCAGAGAGGGGTTAAGGGATTTGCCCACGGTTACGCAGCTAGCGGGAGGGAGGCAGAGCTGGGATTGGCGCCAGAGCCTGTGATCCTCACTGCAGTGCTCTCTTTTGCTCCCCACATACCAGGCCCATGCTGAGTGCCGTGGACTCAGTGATGACCCAGGTGACACAGCCCTGCCCTCACACAGCTTCTGGGCCAGTCCCAGAAACAAAACAAGCAGCACACAGATGTAATTACAACCAATGATCTAGTGAAGGAAGCGAACCTTGTGCTTCAAGGGAGAAAACAAGGACACCACTGAGGGTCATGGGTCCAAGAAGGTCCCTCTGAAGAGGGAACATTTAAGCCAAGACCTAAAGGATAGAGTTGGCCAGGAGAGATTGGGAAGGACAGCGAAGTCGGAGAGAATAGCAAGTGCAAAGGCCTGAGGACAGGCAGGGGCTCCAGCAAGAAACCAGAAAGGGTCAGAGGGGAGGAGCCCAGAGCAGAGGGAAGCGGCAAGACCGTGACGGCAGAGAGGGGGAGGGCAGAGAGGGAGATGGCTCTCATTTGAGATCTCCATTGTAGGAAGGGGGACCACATGTCTGCATGGCCCCAGTTCCAGCCTGTGGTCCCAGTGTAAATATTCATAGTGTCCTATTTTGGTTCGGACAATAATATATTTGAAGGTCACCCTCTCATAGGTGATGATAGAGAGTTTGGATTTTGTTCTCAGGACAGTGGGAAAGCATTGAGGGCTTTTAATAGGAGAGTGACACATCTAATTTATAATATATAAAGTTCACTGTGGCTGCAGTGTGGAAAGGGCTTCCGGGGGCACAGGAAGGAGGCCATTGTCTCTTTCCTGACTCAGCCTGGCAGTGTGGAAGGGTCCAGGCCTGGGAGAGGCAGAGAAGGCCCGGCTTGGGCCTGCGGAGGTTGCAGCCATGGGTGGATCTGACCCCGGGCAAATTCATCCCCAGAGATGCTGTTCCCCCACTACTCCTTGCACTGGTCCAGCCTCCAGTCCCAGACCCAGGGCTTCCAAGACAGGCCTCAAGGGGTAGGAGGCGGCCTCTGAAGACAGCTGCCTACCTCCCAGGACTGCAGCACAGCTTGTGAAAGAAGCAGGAAAGTTCCTCGGAAGAGCTCAAGGACTCAGTAAGCTCAAGAAATAACGATTAACAATATGAACTTTCCATTTGATAATTTATCCCCATCCCTGTGCTTCTCATTGCCACTCAGCCTCCTTCCTTTCCAAGAGGGGATCTCAGAAATGAGAACTCGGGGCACTCAGAAACACCAGCTGGGGAGGGTCCCAAATGGGGCCAGCTTCCAAACTGAATGAGTGCTGGGGAAAAGCGGGTGGCTTCTGGCATCTGCTGATGTACCTGCTGACTGGCCAGGGCTTGCTACCCATGAATGAACACATGTAGGCCCACCCACTCTGTGCACCCACCTCCCGGGAGGGGGATCTGTAGGGGGACACATACACTGCCGACCACATATGGGCAGATGCCCGCCCAGATTTTCACAGACGTTTTATTTTTAGAGGGGCCAGCAGCATAAGCCCAAGGCTTGGAAAAGAAGAAGGGAAGGACAGAAAAGTTAGAAGCCTGTGAAACGAACCTGGCGAGGATGAAGAACCGTTCCTTGGCACTCCACAAAATGGTGCATGCACACCTGCCTCTTAGGAGACTCAGGACTTGCTAAGTCAACCTTCTAGGTTCAGGTGGGGGTCGCCCAAGTCTGGGTGCCAGGAGGGCACCGCCATAGGCTCAGGGAGAACAGGAGGGGCCGGTGGGAGAGGGGTCACTCACCGAGCGGCAGGACAAAGAAGAAAGGGAACCAGCAGAGCACGAAGACACCCACGACGATGGCCAGAGTCTTGGCCGCTTTCTTCTCACGGGAGAACTTGAGCAGGCGCACGGAGAGCGAGCTGCGGAAGGTGTGGCCCTTGGCGCTGCGCATGCCGTGCGCCCCGTCGGCGCCCGTGGCCGCGCCGCGACAGTGGATGCGCAGCACCACCTCGGAGGCCTTGCCTCGCTCGCGCTTGACGCCCGCCTCGAGGCTGCGCGTGGTGCTGCGCGCGACCACGTACACGCGGCAGTACATGACCACGATGACCGCCATGGGCAGGTAGAAGGAGCACACGGAGGAGAAGACAGCGTAGCCCGCCTCCTCGGTGATACCGCAGAAGCGCTCGTCAGGGGGCACGGGCTCCTTCCAGCCCAGCAGGGGCCCTACGGACACCACCAGGGCTACGACCCAGAGCAGGGCCAGGATGGCGGCCGCCTTGCGCTCGGTCATGATGGCTGGGTACTTGAGTGAGTGGCGCACGCCCACGTACCGGTCCACGGAGATGGTGCAGAGGCTGAGGATGGAGGCCGTGCAGCACAGCACGTCCACGGCGGCCCATACGTCGCAGAAGGCGCGGCCAAAGGCCCAGAAGCCCAGAACCTCCATGGTGGCCGAGAAGGGCAGTACGGTGGCGCTCAGCAGCAGGTCGGCCACGGCCAGGTTCACGATGAAATAGTTGGTGACGGTCTGCAGGTGGCGGTTGCAGGCCACTGAGAGGATGACAAGCAGGTTACCTGCCACGGCCATAAGGATGAAGGCTGCCAGGAAGACGCCCACGCCCACGCCCTGCGCGCTCACCACCAGTCCCCCGACGGCCGCCGTGCCATTCACGTCGCCGCCCGCGCCCGCGCTCCCCGGCTCCCCCGCGGAGCTCCGGTTGTCCTCGCCGCTGCCTGCGCCCACCACGCCGCCGCCGCCGCCCGCGCCCCCCGGCACGCCGCCCACCGCCGGGCCCTCCGAGGGGGCCGCGCCGCCCGCGCTGCCCCCGCCGCCGCCCGCGCTGGAGCCCCCTGCGCTGCTGTCCGGGCGGGGTCCCTCGAAACTGACGCTCAGGAGATCGCGGAAAGTCATCTCAACGCGCGGCCGTCGGTGGCCGGGCCGGGGCACAGAACGAGCGGCCGGCAGGGAGGGGAGCACAGGGCATAGCCGCGGGGCTCCAGATGCAGCTCCGCGCACGGGTCCCGTCGGGGTCCTGCCCAAGTTCCTGTGACGCGGAGCGCGGCTGTCCGAGAGCGGAGCTGCCTGGCCCGGGCGGCGGCCGGGCTCCCCGAGGCCGGCCGTGGAGTAGCACCGAAGAGCCGGGGCCCGCTACGCGCGCGGCGCTCTGAGCGTGCCCGGCAAGCGGGCAAAGCGGCGGCTCCGGGGCCGGGCGGTGCAGGCAGCGGCCACTGCGGCGCTCCCAACTCGGCGCGGGGGGCGGGACCGAGGAGGGGCAGCGCCAGGAAGGAGGAGGGGGCGACCCGGGCCGAGAGACGGGCGCCACACTCCAGGGTAGAAGGGACCCTTCGCTCAGGACAAGCGATTGTGTCGGGGTCCGGGGGGCTGCGGCGCTGGCGCGCGCTCGGGTCCCGCAGCAGCCACCCACGCCTCTCCGCAGGTGCCCAAGCCCGCGCTCTCCCCTAGCGGTGCCCTTTGCGTTCCTTCCCGCTCCTCTCCCGGACCCCCTCCCCCTTGGCCCTCAGCGGCGTCCCTCTTCCTCCCGCCCTCTCCCCCGAGTCTCTCGGTCACTCGCTGGTGCCCTTGGGCGCGCGGTGCGTTGAAGGCGTGAGTCCCGGGTCTTCGGGATCCCGGCTTTGGCCGCCAGAGAGCAGCAAGCGCCTGGGATCTGCGGACTGCGGACCGGACGGCGCAGTGCCGCTGCGGGTTGCCTCCTGGGACTGCCCGCATGGATCTGCCGCACCTCCTTTTTCTCACGCCACTGGCCAGGGCAGGGTTTCAGACGCCTCTGTCCAGTGCGATGGCGTGAAGAGAGCCCAGGAAGGGTCGGAAGCCTGTGCTGGGCAGAGGCTGGGTACGATGGGCTCAGGAGCAGCAGGCTGTGGCTACAGCCCTCGGACCCTGCCCAAGACACGCTGGTCTACATACGCCAACTTTCCCACTGTTACTTTTCCCTGTATCAGATGCGGGAATAAACCTTTCTATAGCTACCCTAAATAAGGGGCCTTGTTCTTGTTCTGGCCTTTTTAAGAGGGAGGGTTTAAGTGCCAGAGGGTGGGAAAGGGCACTTGGCAGGATGGTTAAGCGGGGCGGGTGTGAGACAGTCTGGCTCCGCATCTGAATCCAGGCTCCGCCCCATATTAACAGCGGAACCTCTTTGTGCCTCAGTTCCTCAACTGTCAAATGAGAATAAGAAGTGATGTCTACCTCCTGGCCTGAGGGTTAACTGAGTAAATATGAGTGAGGGCCCCAGAGCAGTGCCTGGGCATGTCAGCGGAGTAGGGCTTCTTCAGGGCAGGCTTTTAACAGGGAGGATGGAAGGCGAGGAGGTGTGGGGCTGGTATGGACCCCGGGTGCAGATGTGGGAGAGGGTGTGAGAAGCTTCTTGAGCAATAGCAGGACTGGGTAGGGAGAGGCACAAGGAAATCATACAGTTAGCCAACATAAAAATACCGGCTGCTGGCACGTGGCAGGCACCATGCTGGATACACTAACTGTAAGGAGGGTAATGCCGTCTCATAGTTGCAGAATGAGGAGGGCTTGAGCCCTACCAGGGAGATGAAGGCCTGTTTGCAGAAGTGTCTGGGAGGGGACGGAGAACCCATAGCCCTAGTGTTCACTGGTTATGGTTGACACAGGGGCAGGATGTCTGAGTTCTAGATGAGAAGCTGCTTTGGAGAAAAAGTAAAAAACTGCAGAAATGTTTAGAGATGGGTGGCCTCCCTCCTCCCCATTGCCCAGTCCAGGAAGATAAGGCTTTTATAATCATAGCTTGGAAACAGCTCTTCCAAGGCCTTCCCCATTAAATCTTCTTTTATTTTGGTTTTTGGAAACTTACTATAGTGAGTTGAAACGAAAGCAACGTGGCTTCTAGGGATTAGCTAGCAGCTGACCAAAAGTAAAATCTTGGGTTTGGGCTTCCTTTCTGAGAGGGGAGGGACAGTGGGAACTGAAAGGGGAGGCAAGGAGCTCCTCTCTGGAGGGTGTTAAATGGCAAGTCAGTGTCCATGGTTGGCTGCTATCACATAGTGTGGGATAGGGGCAACCCTGGTGGAATCCATTTGATTCTGGGATTGGCCAGTTTTCAAAGACTGGGAAGAGGAGACAAAGTTAAACCTAGGGCTGGGGCTGGGGTGCTGGGGGCTACTTGACTGGTGTCACATAGAGATCTGTGCCTGATTCTGGTGTGGAGAGCCAGCAGAAGGCTGGCTGGAGGTGTCCTTGCCAGCAGTGTAGGAAGACTTGTGGGATAGAATGCCTGGAAGAAGACGGGGAAGTCTTTCCCCATTTCAGGTCTTGGTGGTCGTCATAAGGTCTGCAAGATGATTCCAGAGGTTCTGAAGCTCTTGGGGAATGAATATGGAAGGACAGCGGTTGTGAGATCGTTGTGAGTTTCCTGTACCTGCTTATCAGAGGCTGAAATCCGGGAAGGGGTGGGGACAACGTGCTGGTGGCAGGGGCAACAAGAGAAAGAGCTATCTCTCTCTGAAGGGAGGTTTTAGCAGTGGAGGGCTGGGATAAAGCTCAATATCATCCCAAGCACACCATTCACACCCAGATCTTTGCTTGGATGCCTCATGAGGACCTCAAATTAAGCATGTTCCTAAGTTAAACTCACCATCTCTGACACTAAAATCTTCAACTTACTGTATTCACTTATGAAAATGGAACCAGCATCTATGCAATTGCTGCAGTTAGAAACCTAAACTCCTCTTTCTGTTTTACTCTCCGCCCCAAATCTAGCCAGTCCTAGAGTGGTGTTGATTGTGTTTGCCTACTTGACTTTGTGAACGCATCCCCTTCTCTCCAAGGTCTCTGCCTAAGGTCAGGCCCTGATCACGCCTCACTCTGATTTTCATTCGTACTCCAATAATGCCTCCTAGTCTGTTGCTATATGGGCCTTCCTAAATATGACCATTTTACTCTTTTAAAAATATTTCTTTGATAACTCACCAGTGCTTTTAAGTTCATAGCACACTTAGTCTTGTGGGACTGGACTCTTTCCTTTTTCTTACCTTTTTTTTTTTTTGTGGGGGAATGCGCAAAGTAAGTTGTTTGGAAGGTGACTTGCAGGAAGCATGATGAGGTGGTTGTTTCTTTAAAATGGATGCTGCTTTGAAACTGGGCCACATGGGACCCTGGGATTTATTTGGATTATAATGAATGAATGTGAGTCAGAGGCTTTTGTTCCCGAAATGATTCTTACATGAGATTTGTGTTCTAGCATCTCATACATGAATAGAATGCTGTCCAGAGGGACATCCTCTGGAAAAATGGCTAGAACTTTCCTATCTGAACTCAAGGTCCAGAAACTGAGACTCTCAGGCACATATCTACAGCATTTTGTTTGTTTGTCTATTTATTTATTTATTTATTTATTTAGTTTTTGTAGTGACAGGATCTTGTTATGTTGCCCAGGCTGGTCTCAAACTCCTGGGCTCAAGCGATCCTCCCACCTTGACCTCCCAAAGTGCTGGTATTACAGGCATGAGCCACCATGGTGCCCGGCCTCCAAAGCATTTTGGTGTGGAGCCTGTCCCCTCCAGTCATCCTTAAGGGCTTCCTGGAGGAAGCGAATTTCAGGGAGAGCTTAAATACCCTTTGGGTCAAGAGTTATCTTCCATCCTTCATCATTCCTTACTTTGGCTGGCCTGTGAAAGTGGGACCATCTTTCTCTAAAGAAATGTTGGGGCTGGGCACGGTGGCTCACGTCTGTAATCCCAGCACTTTGGGAGGCTGAGGTAGGCGGATCACGAGGTAAAGAGATCAAGACCATCTGGCCAACACGGTGAAACCCCATCTCTACTAAAAATACAAAAATTAGCTGGGCGTGGAGGCGTGTGCCTGTAGTCCCAGCTACTTGGCAGGCGGAGGCAGGAGAATTACTTGAACCCGGGAGGCAGAGGTTGCAGTGAGCTGAGATGGCGCCACTCCACTCCAGCCTGGCAACAGAGTGAGACTCTCTCAAAAAAAAAAAAAAAAAAAGAAACGTTGGAGGGCTTTCTGAAACTGCCATGTGTATGATCTGTCAATGTTCTCAGCTGAAGGATACTGTTGGGTTTATTCCTTTGGGTAAAATATTTGCCACAGGTGGTAGAGGAAGAATGGTTGGGCCTGGTGGTAGCATCAATTGTGATATTGTGATATGATGTGAACTCCTCTCCCTTACTCCATCAACTATCCTCTCAGCTGTCCCTATTAGAGTCAAGTCCCTAGCAGGCCGTATGTTTTCTAAATGCAGAGCCTTTCCTGGGGCAGCAGGGAAGTCATCAGCAGTTTTGGTAGGAACTCTTACCTAAGAGTCAAACATTGGTGTCCTGGCTCTGTGCTTCCTCCCTATATGGTCTTTGGCAAATATTTGGACCTAGTTGTCTCCTTTATAAAATGTGGCAAATGGGATTGAACTAGATCAGAGATCAAAGCAAGGTAATTCTTTAAGTGAAGTCTTCATAGAAACCCAATGTAGGCTGGAGATGGTAGCTCACATCTGTAATCTCAGCACTTCGGGAGGCCAAGGCAGGAGGATTTCTTGAGCCCAGGAGTTTAAGACCAGCCCAGGCAATATAGTGAGACCTTGTCCCTACCAGAAAAAAAGAAAAAGAAAAAAAAAAAAGCTGGCTGTGGTGGTGTGCAGCTGAAGTCCCAACTCCTCTGGAGGCTGAGGTGGGAGGATCGCTTGAGCTTGGGAGGTTGAGGCTGCAGTGAGCCGCGATGGCAGCACTGAACTCAGCCTGGGTGACAGAGCGAGACCCTGTCTCAAAAAAAAAAAAAAAAAAAAAAAAAAAAGAAGCCCAATATAAACAAGCAGATATTTGTGGAGAAACTTTGGTTGGATCATAGGCAAAGTCCTGAGACCCTCGAGGCCTCCCTCTCATGCTGCATCCCATTCCCTGAGGCATTCTCATGGCCTTGTGAGTCCAGGAGCCTTGTGGGCAAATTGCTGGCCCAGTGAGCCCTGGAGACCCTGTTGGTCTGGGGGTTCTTTGTGATTTGGCAGTATGGCGCCCAGTTTAGATGGAAGACTAAGCACCTGCATTTATCTCTTCTCCCTTATGAGACCTCTTTAGAGTGACAGCAAGGAAAAAGGAGCGGTTTGTCTTACAACTGAGAAGTTAACTCCTATGCTGACAAACCCTGGACTCTAGCCCCTAAAGAGGAGGCTTGATGGAACCCTGCAAGGGGTCATGAAGGCATTGAGGAGTTCTGGACCGCCTCCTTGCTTGTGAAGATGATACAGATTGATTGGCACTGTCAGAGTCAGGATGCCGAATGGGAGACAACGGTGGTGGGGAAGAAATTCATGACAGATGTATCCTGTTTGCGGGAACCAGCTGGTCAACCCCCAGTTTCCTCCCACCCCATCAAGCCTGGGCAGCCTTTATTCATTCATTCAACACAAGTTAACTAAGCACCAGCTATATGCCAAGGAACTATTCTGGGCACTGGGGAGATATATATACATATATATATATACTTTTTTTTTGTTTGTTTGAGAGAGATAGGGTCCCACTCTGTTTACCTAGGCTGGAGTGCAGTGGCATGATCACAGCTCACTCTGAACTCAACCTCCCAGGCTCAAGCCATCCTCTTGCCTCAGCCTCCTGAGTAGCTGGGACAACAGGCATGCGCCACCATGCTAGGATAATTAAAATTTTTTTTTTTTTTTTGTAGAGACAGGGCCTTGCTATGTTGCCCAGGCTGGTCTCCAACTCCTGAGCTCAAGCTATCCTCCTGCCTCAGCCTTCCAAAGTGCTGGTTTTACAGGTATAAGCCACTGTGCTCAGCTCATGATAAATAAAGCAAATTCCCTGCCATCCTGGGGCTTGCATTCAAATGGCAGAGAGTGCTACCCGGAAGAGTTAGGAGGAGAGTTTCGCATTGCCATGGACAAAAGTTTTATCTGAGTTTGATATTTGGGTCTTGAAGATTCTTTGCAATGAAATCGCCAAAGAAAATCCAAATCTAAAAGAACCCTTTTCCAGTACCTCCCCGTCCTAGAATAGCAGTGGGAGCTGACTGCCAGACCAAAGGGTGCAAATTCATGCATGTCATTGGAAGACTTTGTTAAAGCTGCCACTTCCTGGGATCAACTCCTATGAAGAATATGGACATCCATTCCATTCTTCAGTTGCGAATTGATCTCTAGCCCTGGTCTGACCTTTTACCTTACCATGGCCTGATCCTAAGCCTGGCTACATCCTAACCCATAATACTGACTGACTCAAAACCTTCCTGATTTCCTTAATTAGACCATTCTTCCCTAGATCCATGCTGTGGTCAGCAAAGGCACTGAGTGAAAGGGTAAGGTCTCAGTGCTACCCTCCCATACCTTCAGGACAGCGAAGTTTGGTGCTCAGGACCGGTCATGGGTCAGGGAGTATCTGGAGAAAGAATGTGGTTTCTGCAGGAAGGAGTTTCTGAGTAGTCCATCCTCTCAGCTCCATCTCTATGTCAGCAGAGGCTGGAGGGAACTTGAGCCAGTTATGATTTGATGATTTGTGCTAATATTTGCCTAAAATTAATAGAGTTGGAAATTAATAGAAATGGTAGCGGGTAGCAATGAAATGAAATTCCCACTCAGAACCTGGCTAGCAGCCCACTGTTCTGGGGACCCTTGGGGTGGCTCTTTGCTTTGCAGCTGTATTTGCTTCTGCTTCTAAGATATATTCTTTTGTTTCTTTTTACTTTCTTCAGGAGAGGAGATAAGCTGGGAAGCAGGATAGTGAACAAAGTTGGAAGACACACTGGAGTGGAAAACTCTCAGGGCAGAGATTTGTCAGGATATGTTAAAACCTGTAATGAGCAACCCCCACATTTCAGTGACTTAACACAATAAAACTTCATTTCTCATTTACTCAAAGGCCAACGTGAAAGTACCTGATTGAACAGCTGTCCTGGGCAGATCTTCTCTATGGGACAACTCAGGGATCTAGGCTCCTTTTGATGTGTGAATTCATTGTTTTCTAGAGACTTGGGAAGCTCCAGAGTCCTGGAGATCTCTTCTGGATTGTCTATAAAAGATATCCAAAGAAGAAAGGGAGAGTGTGGAGAATTACATGGATATTTTAGAAATCAAGCACAACAGTTGTGTCTAAGCCCATTAGTCCCATACCCTCACTTACTTGCAAGGGGGAAATGTGGCTTAGCCAGGTGCCTAGGAATAGGGAATGGGTTTGGCAACTGTCCAGCCTGTCTATACTGCAGGACAGCAAGAGACCTAGGAATACTCAATTTGGGTCTTGGCTAGGAAATGCCTTATAGATGCATTGTGAAAAGAGCAGAGAGATTGTCTGCCCTGAACCCCCCACTAGAACTGTACCCAGGCCCAGCGGATGCTTCCATGACTTTTCATGTTTGCTCTTTCTTCCAGACCAGGCCCAACATGAACATTTCCACCATGGCTTAGCTAAAAAAGGGCTAGAATTGGGAATGCCATTTGGGAATGTGCTGGTGACAGTTGGTGACAATTCCAACTCACTCAGCTCTGGGAATGCAATAGGAAAATTAAGGTGGGTATCAGGGGCTCAGCTAACACTGTTCTAACCTTCATAGAGAGTAAGCAATCCCTCCCTATAGAATCTACCTCATGCCAATGGGAATCTCTTACCTTCCTTTATCAGTGCCTGAAATTCCACCCCTATAATCTGGGTCTGCTAACTCCAAGAACCAGTGTGTTTCTCATTATATTAAATTCATCTCCTAGTAGAGGTGACGTACAAGGTCACTATCTCCTCCAGCCCCTTAGATCTGCTTAGCCATTGTGGGATGGTGAACTAGGAGGAGTAGGGGAGTCATCCAGTGGGGATACTCGGTGGTGATGGAAAGAAAGGTGAGAAAGTTCCAGGGATAAACTTTGCTAACCTGACAAGTGCTCTGGCTGCCAAATGGAGCAGCGCGTGCTAATGAGAGAGATTTCCTAACGCAGAATTAAAATAGGCCAGTCCATTCAGAGGAAGTGACCTGTAATCAACTTTAGAGGCCAGGCAGTGTTGCATGACTCCAATCCCAATTAGGGAGGCTGAGACAACTCCTGCTGGGATGTCAACCCTCCAGCTCATGAATAAGATGGCCCAGAGCCATTTTCCATTTCCTTTCTCCTGGGCCAAGATTCAATCTCTGGAGAAGACAGTGAAGGAGGACTTCCCTTGATGATGATTCCCTGGAGAAATGGAAGGATGGAGAAAGCAAAAAATTCCAACTGTCCCAGGAAAAATATTAGGAAGTGAGGCTGGCCTTCTCTACTTTGGAGTTCTCCATGCCTGACCATTTGGGCTCCTACAACTCTCCCTTCCTCTCTTCTCTGTGAGTTAGTCACTTAATCTTTCTGATCTTACATTTTCCCATTTGTAAAATGGTGATAATAACCCTGCCCCCTTTGGGGATTGAGTGTCTGTGAAGCTCCCATTCATCTTCTCCTTTGTGTCCCTATTGTCTTTGATTTATTCCTCTGTAGAGTAGTGTTTGGTAATTTAGTTGCTTACCGGTCTTATTCCTATCTGGAGATAGTGAACTTCTTGGGTTTTTCAGTGACTGTAACATATTTGTCTTTTTATGCTCAGCAGCCAGCGCAGTGCTCGCTTCTTGAAGTGGTTCAGTGAATGTTGAGTTAGTGGATGAAAACATGCATCAACAAATGAGTAAGCAAATGAATGCCTGAAGGACTGTGCACCTCTGAGTGTCACTGAGGGTTACAGTATATGTCTGTGTCCCAAGGTGTCAGCCCTTCTGCAAGAGATGATTGGAGAGGGCTTTCATTCATCCCAAGGAGCATAGTCTGTCTAGGGCAGGGGTGGGGCCCTTTCTCCTAGGAGGAACGCTTTGAGAGGCACGAACACGGAGCTGGATCAGAGGAGTACGTGCCCCTGCTGTCAGCGTGGGGGTGACTGGCCCATGGAATAGAACTTATCTCCAATGTATGCCATGAGCCCTACCTAGGAATCCCTTCCTTAGGGGTGGTCCCTACCTCCATGTAGATGGACCTGTGTAGGAATAGCGTTGCCTGGTAGTGGGTGAATAAATCTGCTTAAGCATGGGGCTCAGTTAATAGGCTCATGTCTCATCAGGCTTGGGATTTAGCAGAGAGTTTGGAGCCTAGCACACTGGATTTTCACCTCAAGGAAGATGCTGCCGCATACTATGTAGGTGGATTTTTTTCCCCAAAGCAACTGTGGCGGAGGCAAAGATTGGTCTATAAGTGCATGAAGACGGCATAATTGGTGACCACATTTCACTCCTCTGTAGTAATATTATACATCCATACCCCTTCCATAGCCTCATGGTGGGAACAATAATTGTCTTTGCCCCTTGACATTGAGCTTGGCCATATGACTTGCTTTGGCCAAGGGGATGTTGGCAGATGTGACAAAAGCAGGAGCTTGAATTTGCTTGTGTGATTGGGTTCGTGTTCTTGTGCTTCTGCCATCACCACAAAAATACCATATTTCAGGTTGCCATTGCATCTTCATGTCAGACACCAAAATGAGACATCTGCAGTGAAGCTATGCCAAGCAATCTGCAGACATATGAACGAGAAATAAATGTTTCTAGCTGCATGTCACTGAGATATCAACGGAGTTTGTTATGTAGCAAAAGCTGATTGATACAAGGCAAAATGAGTTTTTTAAATTTCAGGCTTTTTGACACTGACAGTTGAGGAAATTATTTACTGCCTTTAAATTTGCAAGGCAGCAGTTACTAAAGCTTAATATACATATAGCCTGTGATCTAGAAATGTCTATGGGGGGGACATTCAGCTTATGTCCCCCCCATAGACATGTATAAAAATATTCATAGCAGCTTCGGCCATAATACTTAACCTGGAAATAACTCAGATGTCCTCCAGTACAGCACAGAAGGCCAAGGAGGGAATGGGAGTGAGAAAGTAGAGGCAGGAAGTTGTTGCGGATGCAAAAAGAGATGAAAGAACAAATGGGAGTGGACTCTTTCTGATGGAAGAGGTTTGAGTGTGTTTATAAGCTTTGAGAAAAGATTCAATAAGGAGGTAGAAGTTGAAGGTTCAGGAGGAGGTGCAGAGGGATGGAGTAAGATGTTCGATAGGTAGCAGGGCGTGGTATTCTAAGCCCAGTTGCAGCAGTTTGCTTCAGAGAGAAAACTAGAACAGAGGGTAGGAAGATGAAGATGTTTGTAGGTTGTTGGGTTCAGAAATCCAGAAGGGTCCTGCCTGATGTGGGTGTTGGGGAGTTATGGGAATTAAAAAGAATAATAAGATTTTGTAATAACCATTGTGGGAAATGAGAAAGGGGCCAGTAAGATTGTCCAGGGGCAAATATGATTGCTAAACAGTTTCAAAAGTCCAGCTGAGAGGTTGGAGACCAGGAAATTGTGATGCTTTCTAACAAGATTCAGCAACCTGGATATGGGAACCAAGAAATTAAGAGATTTCTTAATCTCTTAATTAAGAGATTTAAGAGATGTCTTAAATTAAGAGATTAAGAAATTAAGAGATTTCCACCCCCACTTGGCAGTCATTAATTCAGGGCCATCATTTAAGAAGGGCCCAAGGGTTACATTTAAGGGCTAAGACATAGGGAAATTTTGTGGGCTGTTTGACATATCTGCCACCGGTGTGGTGTGTTTAAGGAAGAGGTTGAACGAAGGTGGCAGCATTCATTGCAGAAAGAGTAGCACCCATATCTACCAGGAGTCAATGAGGTTGACCATCTATATTTATAATAGTTAATTTGCCTTAGATGTTTAAGGGTAAGGCAGGCTATTGAGTACTTTTTCTTTCCTTAGAGAACCCTCATTCATCTAAATTGAGATACTTTTTTTTTTTTCAAATGGGATGATTTTTCCAGTGTCCCTTCTGTTCATGATATCTAAATATATCCTCATTAGTACAGGTGACCAGTTTGGAAGTGAGCCATCTATAGCTCTTTGATCTGCAGGGCTGTAACAGTTGGATTCTCCCATTGTCCCTCTCCTGGCGGAACAGAACCAACAGGATATATATGTGTGTGTGTATATATATATATACCTGTTGGGTCTGGGTCTGTTTCTCTGTATATATATATATATATATATATATATATATATATATATATATATATATATTTATAAAATATTTTTTTCTTTATTTTTCTGTATTTTAAGGAATTGACTCACTCAATTGTGGGGGCTGCCAAGTCTGAAATCTGTAGGGCAGGCTGCAGGCTGGAAACTCAGGCAGAATTTCCGTTCCAGTTTTGAGGCAGAATTCCTTCCTCTCTGGAAAATCTCAGTATGTGCTCGTAGGGCCTCTTAAGCTGATTGGATGAGGCCCACTCACATAATGGAGGGTAATCTCTTTTACTTAAGGTCAGCTGATTAGAGATGTCAATCACATCTATTAATACAAAATACCTTCACAGCAACATCTAGGCTAGTGTTTGAGCAAACAATGGGGTATCAAAGCCTAGGTTTTCTTTTTTTGCATGATGAGATTATAGTCCAATAGATTTTTATTGGAAATATTTCAGGTAGGGCTTTTAGGAGATTTTGCCCTACTTTTTGGGCCTGTTTTTTATCTTGAGGTTTATTGTGGAAAGAGGGATCCAGGTCGGTCCAATCACCTTTAGTAGGATTTAGCATCTGAGGTTCTGACCAACGTGTGTAAAATTGATAGAGGTCTGGTAACCCTGGGTCACATGCACCCCAAATAATTCTAAATTTATCTGTGAATAGTTGCTGGTCTTGTCTGGGTTTAGGAAAATCTGTACTTATGGTTATTAATTCAATTCTGGCCCAAGGTTTAAATTCTACAGTTGCTTGCCTGTCTGGCTCATGGGAGCGGTTATATCTTTGAGGCACCTGGCATTTAAGGGTCTTAGGAATTATTGACAAAGGATTGGGAACTGGATAAGGGAAGAGGAGGGAGGAGTCAGCAGAAGTGCAGAGGGAGAGCAATTAAAAGGATAAGCGGGGGAGAGGGAGGACTGGATCCAGGGAAGGAACTTGGGGACAAGGAGCTGGAGATTGACTAGGAAAATGTGTCTAGTCTGCTGTTGAGTTTTTCAACTTGCTCATTACCTTTGGTCAGAGAACCTTTCAGTGAAGCAATTTTAAAATCAGAATTGTATCTGCAGGCCTCTGCATGCTGATCAAAGTATCTTATTCTCTGTGTTTTTTAAGGTGCCTCTCAAATGAACAATTTTGTTCAAGTCACACATTCTCCACAGTGGCCACTGGAGATCCAAATGATTCTTGATGGAGTTAGGCTATTTACAGAGAGATGAGGCACAATAATTAGAATTCTAATGAAGGTCTGTGTAAGAATCAGGACTTTTTCCTGGAAGAGGAGAGGATTTTTATTCAGATGACCCCATGAGAGCCCTTGGGTACCCTGTGTCCTGGGTCCCCAGCCTGATGGTTAATGGTCTCCAAAGGGAGACCGGACAGTTTGCACTTCTTGCAGAAAACCAGAGAGAACATTCTCTCTGGACAAAAGATGGCAGACAAACCTTACCCAAGTTTATTGGTGACTCACAGCAAAGTTTGTCTGAAAGAACCACAAACTCACCAGTCTAGGAGGTTGACTTGATCAACAGTCCTGTGGGATATATGCCTGTGTTCTACCCTGTGATTCTTGTTCTGTGACAAACAATAATTTTGACAGCACAGCAGAAAATGGAAGAACAAAAGAAAAGAAAAAGAATGGTCTGATTGTACCAAAGACGCAAACAAATGGGAAGAATAATAAAAATCAGGGGCAAAACTAATAATAAATAGCTGAGAACTCACCGCAAAGACAGTGGAGTTCAGACCTAGTGCTGAGTTCCCACACTGGTGTGGATTTGACAAGCCACAGGTGGCAAGGCACAAGAAACCTCTACAAGTACCGCACGCACATGGACAGAGGCTGAGGTCCGTGGTGATGGGCAGTGCAGACTGTATCTCAGCAGGACCGCCAGGAAATCTGTGGAAATAAATGAAGACCACCCACATGAGAACAGACAGAAGCTATTTACTCAGAACTTGCAAAGGAATCAGCCATCATTTGCATTTGGAAGGGACTCAAAAACAGGCAGAGACTGGGAAACTTCACAGTGGAATAAAAAAGGGAAGGCTTCAGGTATGCTGTGATTGGAGGTTGTTGGCATGGGGACAACAGAGGTGGGCGAACTGGAAGAAGGGCATCTTATGTGGTTGACTGGGGAGCATATTTGACTTTTTCTGATTGGTCTTGAGTTGGAAGCAGGGGCGAAAAATAGGGAAGCTGGAAGTCATTGACCAATTCCTGGCCAGGTGCAGTGGCTCATGCCTGTAATCCCAGCACTCTGGGAGCCTGAGGCCAGTGGATTGCTTCGAGACCAGCCCGGGCAATGTGGCGAAACCCCATCTCTATGAAAAATACAAAAATTAGCTGGGCGTGGTGGTGCATGCCTCTAGTTCCAGCTACTTAGGAGGCTGAAGTGGGAGGATTGCTTGAGCCTGGGAGGCAGAGGTTGCAGTGAGCTGAGATTGTGCCACTACAGTCCAGCCTGAGTGACAGAGGGAAACCCTGTCTCAAGAAAAAAAAAAAAGAAAAAGAAAAAGAAAGTCATTGACCAATTCCTGCCTAGGATTCCGGGTTGATTACTGCTGGGGTTTGGCTTCCTGGGCTGGTTGCTGCAGACTCTATTGTTGTATACAGTCTGGCCATTGTGGATTTGTATGTTAAGTCCTTGAGGAGGTATTGTTGCATTGTTCCAAAAAGTTCCCAATCTGGGTAAGAAAATGAGATGTACATTCAAAATCAAGATTGTCTGTTTCTGGGATCAGGCATCTGCATGAGGCCAGGCTGAGGGTCAGGGTGCAGGTAGAGGGAGGGCTGGGCTGTATTCAGGTGAGGAGTTGGGCTGTGTATAGGTGAGTGGTCAGAGTAGGGCAAAGGGGTTGGCCAGAAGCTTCTTTCAGAGGGTAGGTCACCAATGTAGGACTGACTCAGTGACCCTGGCCCAGTTAGCCCTGTCTTTGACCAGCTCTGATTTAAGGTCATGCTCTTCCTACTTTCCAAACATTTCCTTTGGCATGAAGAAACTTCCTCCAGCTGCACCTGGTCCCTTGGGGGAGTTCTTTTAGGCATAGTCTAAGGTTGGGGAGGAAGTGGCATGGCTTTGATAATAGGGGACAAGGGTGAAATTGCAGCTTGCACTCTCTCCCTGCTGTGTGATGAAAGCATAAACCCACCTGCACAGGAAGGTGCTCTTAGACTCCCCTCCTCTGACAAGCCGGAACTGCCCCCGTGCCATTGTGTTAAGAATTGAGATGCTGCAACCTGCAGATCTCTCAGGTTGATAGGGGTGTGAGGAGATGGTGGGAATGAAAGGGGGCTTTGTTCCTTTCATTGTGCTGTTTAATGCATTTCCTTCTCCATGAAACGTTGGCTGTAGGAGTAACTATCATTCATAATTTTCAGTCATTGCCTATCTAGGGTGATTGAATTGAGGGGTAACCTCACTTACTGTCTTATCACAGTGCCTAAAAGGCTACATTATTGCTCTACTCTTTCAGGCTGAACATTGCTTTCTTTTTGGTTTTTGTTTTTGTGCCTCAGCCTCCTGAGTAGCTGAGATTACAGGCATGTGCCACCATGCTGGCTATTTATTATTTATTTATTTATTTATTTATTTATTTTTGTATTTTTAGTAGAGACTGGGTTTTGCCATGTTGGCCAGGCTGGTCTCGAACTCCTGACCTCAAGTGATCTACCCACCTTGGCCTCCCAAAGTATGGGATTACAGGTGTGAGCCACCACACCTGGCCAACATTGCTTTCTCATTTGTTCATGTCACACATATTTATTACAGGTGTAAACTATGTATCAAGCACTTTGCTGGTTACTGGGGATAAAATATTGAGTAGGACAAAGCCTTGACTTTCATGGATCTCATAGTCTATTATAGGAAACAGATGATAAGAACAAAAGTGCAATGAGGAACACTTACAGGGTACCATGGCAGGATAATGGAGGGGATAGGTTACTTAGGTGGAGGGGAGAGGGCAGGCCTCTCTGAGGGTGGGACATCAAGTGAGATTGGATTTTGAGGAAATGCCAGGTTCATGAAGAGCAGATGAATGCGCCTCAAGCAGAAGAAAAACATGTGGAAAAGTATTGGGGGACCTGCCCTGATATTCATGTAGGTTCTTTTCTATTTTCCTTAAGCATCGGCCAGCTTGAGAAATAAAGGGACAGAGTACAAAAGAGAGAAATTTTAAAGCTGGGCATCCGGGGGAGACATCACATGTCAGTAGGTTCCGTGATGCCTCACAAGCCGCAAAAACCAGCAAGTTTTTATTAGGGAGTTTCAAAAGGGGAGGGAGTGTGCGAATAGGTGTGGGTCACAGACATCAAGTACTTTACAAGGTAATAGAATATCACAAGGCAAGTGGAGGCAGGGGGAGATCACAGGACCACAGGACCGAGGCGAAATTAAAATTGCTAATGAAGTTTCAGGCACCATTGTCATTGATAACATCTTATCAGGAGACAGGGTTTTGAGATCAACCGGTCTGACCAAAATTTATTAGGCAGGAATTTCCTCTTCCTAATAAGCCGGGGAGCGCTATGGGAGACTGGAGTCTATTTCACCTCTGCAGTCTCGACCATAAGAGATGACCACGCCCAGGGGTGCCAGTTCAGAGACCCACCCCCAGGTGTGCATTCTCTTTCTCAGGGATGTTCCATGCTGAGGAAAAGAATTCAGTGATATTTCTCCCATTTGCTTTTGAAAGAAGAGAAATATGACTCTATCCCACCCAGCTCACTGGCGGTCAGAGTTTAAGGTTATCTCTCTTATTCCCTGAACAATTGCTGTTATCCTGTTCTTTTTTCAAGGTGCCCACATTTCATATTGCTCAAACAAACATGCTGTACAATTTGTGCAGTTAATGCAATTATTACAGGGTCCTGAGGCGACATACATCCTCCTCAGCTGACAGGATTAAGAGATTAAAATAAAGACAGGCATAGGAAATCACAAGGGTATTGATTGGGGAAGTGATAAGTGTCCATGAAATCTTTACAATTTATGTTTAGAGATTGCAGTAAAGACAGGCATAAGAAATCACAAAAGTATTAATTTGGGGAACTAATACATGTCCATGAAATCTTCACAATCCACGTTCTTCTGCCATGGCTTCAGCCGGTCCCTCTGTTTGGGGTCCCTGACTTCCTGCAACAGAAAAGTCTTGGCATTCCTGGCACCAAATGAAGGCTGGTGAGTGTAGAGCACAGAGGATGAGATTGAGGGCATGAGGTGCAGCTGGAGAGGAAGCTGGAGGTCACTTGGAGATGCAGAAAGATGCAAATATAAGAGGAGGCCACAGAGGGAGTTTAGGTAGGAGTGTTACAATATGATTGGATTTAGGCTTTATAATAGTTTCATTTTATGGCTGGGCACAGTGGCTCATGCCTGTAGTCCCAGCACTTTGGGAGATTCAGGCAGGTGGATCATTTAAGGCCAGGAGTTCAAGACCAGCCTGGGCAACATGGTGAAACCCCATCTCTACAAAAATACAAACATTGGCTGCACTCTGGTGGTGTGGGCTTGGTGGTGCACACCTGTAGTTCCTGCTTTTTGGGAGGCTGAGGAGGGAGGATCTCTTGTTTTTTTTAATTTTTAATTTTTTTGACACGTAGTCTTGCTCTGTTACCCAGGCTGGAGTGCAGTGGCAAAATCTTGGCTCACTGCAACCTCTGCCTCCTGGGTTCAAGCAATTCTCCTGCCTCAGCCTCATGAGGGAGGATCTCTTGAGCCCAGAGGTTGGGGCTGCCATGAGCCATGATTGCACCACTGTATTCCAGACTGGGCAACAGAGTGAGACCCTGTCTTAAAATAAATAAATAAATGAATAGTCTCATCTATAAAACAAAGTCATGATTGTTGTTTTCATAAAAATGACCATGTGCATTATAAACATTTCACAAAATAGGGAAAAGTAACCTAAGAGGAGCAATGATTCACCGTGGTGACTATTTTTCACCCAGTCTTTTGGGTGCCAGGCTATGAATGGCAAGAATAGGAGTGGGAACTCGTTCATTAGTCATTTATTGATTAAACAAATACCTGTGAAGCACCTACTCTGTGTCACACACTATTCTCAGCTGTGGGATGTGGTGAACACAGCCAAGCAGGTTCTTGCATTCTTGGGGAGGTACAAGGAAAGAAACAAGTTGGATGCAGCTGGTGATTAGTGTTATGCAGACAGCCAAACAGGCTAACACAACATAGAGGCAGTGTCTTGAGATTCCTAATGAGAGGACCTCTCTTTGGAGGGGTGACATCTGAGCTGTGATATGAGTGACAAGGAGCCAGGAGAAGAAGCCAAGGCTGTGGGCGAACGAGTGTGGGGGCCGAGCTATGGTGGGTTTTGTGGGTGGTAATGAATTGCGTGGGCTTTATTTCAGATATGATGGGAAGCTACAGAAATTCATTCGGAACTTTGTACACCATGAGGCAGGAGCTGATGGTGGCTCTAAGAGGGAGAGGAGTCAGAGTTGAGATGTATTTTGGAGGTGAACCGACTCCTGGTGAACTGGATGTGGAGGGGGACTGAGGGAATGGAAGGTGTCAGGGACGACTCCCAGATTTCTGACTTACATAACTGGCTGAATGGTGGGAGGTACTATTTGCTGACGTGGGGAAGAATGGAGAGGGGGAAGAAGGACATTTTTAGTGAACATTGAGAGTTAATGTTGGGACAAATTAAATTTGAGATGCTGTGAGACAGCCAGGTGGAGGTATGGAAGCATTTTTTTTTTTTTTTTTTTTGAGACAGGGTCTTACTCTGTTGCCCAGGCCAGTGAGTGATCGCAGCTCACTGCAGCCTCGACCCCCTAGGCTTAAGTGATCCTTCTTCCTCAGTCTCCTGAGTAGCTGGAACCTCAGGTGTGCGTGACCACAATTGGCTAATTTTTTTTTTTTTTTTTTTTTTTTTTTTGGTAGAGATGAGTTCTCCCTATGTTGCCCAGGCTTGTCTCAAACTCCTGGGCTCAAGTGAGCCTCTCCCTTCAGCCTCCCAAAGTGCTGAGATTACAGGTGTGAGCCACTGCACCTGGCCCTCAGGAGGCATTTTGATATCTAGATTAGAGCCCTGAGGATAGTTCTGAGGGAAGTTAATCTGGGAGTGGAGGGCACACAGATAGCCTTGGAAATGGCTAAAGTCACCTGGGGAAATAATGCAGGTAGAGAGGAAAAAAATGCCTCTGGAGGTACAGATAAAGGAGGAAAAGCGGGCAGTGGAGAAGAGGAAGAACTGCTAGGGAGGTTAGTGGAAACCTGGAGGGTGGCGACATGATAGTCAGGAGGGAACGAAGCTTTAAAAGGGAAAATGTGGTCAAAGATACTGAATGATGCTGAGAAGAGGAAATTATCTATTGGTCTGGTAACATGGAAGTCCCTGGGGACCTTGACAAGAACATCTCTGGTGTCATGTTGGAGGAGGAGCCAGGTTGAAGTGGATTGAAGAAGGAACATGCAGGCAGAAGAGGAAGCTTGAAGAGCCAACACATATATGAAAAGATGCACAGTGCAACCACTAATTAAAAAAATGCAAGGGAGGCAACAATGAGACACCATTTCTTACCCATCTCATTGGGCAACCATCAAAATGTCTTATGGTAGGCGTTAAAACTGAAGTTTTGACTGGGACTCCCAGTGACATGGATGAGGCATCCCAGAGGCAGATCTCTGTAAGTAGAGTTTAAAAAAGAAATGGTCCCCAAGGCTGTGACTCTTGGGCCCCAGAATCACAGCAAGGAGACAAGAAGGGCCAGACAGTGAAGAAGAGAGGACTGGGTGAGGGGATTCCTCTGGAATGTGTCACTGCTCTGTGGTGAGGCCTCACCATGGATGCCAGGTGCAGAGGGGTGCAGGATGTGGCCTCCTCACTTCAAGGTTTGTGACTTGGTCAGCTCATGCTGCTGTAACAAGTACCATAGACTGGGTGGCTTAAACAACAAAAACCTATTTCTCACAGTAATGGAGGCTGGGAAGTTCAAGGTCAAGGTTCTGGCTGATTGAGTGCCTCCTGAGAACCTGCCTCCTGACTTGTAGACAGCCACCTTCTCACTATATCTTCACATGATGAGGACAGAGATCATCTCTCATCTCTTCTTATTTTTTATAATATTTTATTTATTTATTTTTTGAGACAGGGTCTCACTCTGTCACCCAGGCTGGAGTGCAGTGGTGCAATCATAGCTGACTGCAGCCTCAACCTCCTGGGCTCAAGTGGTCCTTCCAACTCAGCCTCCTAAGTAGCTGGGACCACAGGCACATGCCACCATGCCCGGCTAATTTTTGTATTTTTGATAGAGATGGGGTTTCACCATGTTGCCCACACTGGTCTTGAACTCCTGGGCTCAAATGATCCTCCTGCCTTGGCCTCCCACAGTGCTGGGATCACAGGGGCAAGCCACCATGCCAAGCTCATGTCTCTTCTTATTAGGGTGCTAAATCCCATAATGAGGGCTCTACCCTTTGGACTAATTACCTCCCAAAGCCCCATCTCAAAATACTATCACGTTGGGGATTAAGGCTTCAACATATGCATTTTGGAGGGACACAAAAAGTCAGTCCATAGCAATTAGCAAGCCTTCTGGGGAGGTTTGCTGTGTGTTCACTACAGTTAGAGGCACAGAGAAAACTCACACTGAAGAAAGCTAAAGTGATAACCAGCAGTCGGAACTTTGTCTCATTTCTGATCTCAGGAGGAACATGTCTTAGTCAGTTTGGACTGCCATATCAACATACCATAGACTGGGGTCCTTAAGCAACAAAAATTTATTTCTCACAGTTCTGGAGGCTGGGAAGTTCAAGATCAAGGCACCAGCAGACTCAGTGTCTGGTGAGTGCTCCCCTCCTGGTTCATAGACAGCCATCTTTTCACTGTGTTCTCACATGGCAAAAGAGGCCAAGGATCTTTCTGAGGCCAAGGATCTCTCTGGGGTCCTTTTATTTTTTTTCCATAAAGGTACCAATTTCATCTGTGAAGGCTCCACCTTGATGGCCTAATTACCTCCCAAAGGCTCCACCTCCTAATGCCATGACGTAGGGGATTAGGTTTTAAAACATGAATTTGAAGGGGATACAACACTCAGTCTATGGTAGAAAGGTTTAAATTGGTCAGTTTCTTGTTTTTTCTTATTCTTTTTCTTTTTTTTCTTTTTTCTTTTTCTTTTTTTTTTTTTTGAGATGGAGTCTCTCTCCATCTTTTTGTTTTGTTTTGTTTTTTTGAGACAGAGTCTCTCTCTGTCACCCAGGTTGGAGTGCAGCGATGCGATCTTGGCTCACTGCAACTTCTGCTGCCTGGGTTCAAGCGATTCTCCTGCCTCAGTCTCCCAAGTAGCTGGGATTACAGGTGCCTGCTACCGCACTTGGCTAATTTTTGAAGTTTTTTACTACAGATGAGGTTTCACCATCTTGGCCAGGCTGGTATTGAACTCCTGACCTTGTGATCCACCCGCCTTGGCCTCCCAAAGTGCTGGGATTACAGGCATGAGCCACCGTGCCCAGCTTCAGCTTTTTATTTTATGTAGGGCTTTTGTTGATATTATTTTTTTAGCTTAAGGAAATTATACTATTAGTTTGCTAACTGTGTTTTTAAAAATCATAAATGGGTGTTGAGTTTTATCAAATGCTTTTTTTTCATCTATTGAGAATCCAACTCTGAAACGAAGTAGAGCTTTTGGAAGTCTTGTGGTGCTGAGGAGGCAAAAATAAATTTTCAAAGCCTTCCAACATGGAGGGACATCAGTGAACATCCAGACTTGCAGGTAAGACCTGTGGAGATACGGGTACAGAGACCTCAAAGCATCTCAATCCCTGGTTGGATTAAGGCAATTTTCTCTACTGTCTGCCATAAACAAAGGGTTATAACATAATCCTAAACCGTCTGTACTTTTTCTTAAACAATGTCTGATATTCAATCAGAAATTACCAGGGATATCAAGAGGTCAAAGCAATTGACTTGAAATCAAAGGAATAAAAAAAGCCCACGGGAAATCTAGATGCTGGATGTATGAGTTTTAAATAATCATGGTTAGCATGTTTAAGAATATAAGTGATAAGATGGAAAATTTCACCAGAGAACTAGAATCTAATTTAATAAAAAAGAAGAGAAATTATTCTCTAAGCTTATCTGAAAATTTCATTTATACTGCCCACCACCCTCTTTTGCCAGAGTATTTTAATGAAAATCTGTGAATATCAATTCATCTGTAAACACTTGATGATGTCCTATATTTTTTCCTTGAGCAAACACATGGGTACTTTATGATCATTTGAAACCTGTACATATATGCTTTCACATTTTTGGGTATATTTTTGTACAGTTTACAATTAAATAAAAAGGGTGGTCCATATTCACTGTCATCATTTCCTGTAAACACCCCATTCCTACCAGTTCCATCCCTCCACCCTCTTCAAATATTCCTTGCAATGGAATATAAATTTTTTTCTTCAGAGACAGAGTCTTGCTATGTTGCCCAGGCTAGAGTACAGTGACTATTCATAGGGGATCATAGTGCACTGCAGCCTCTAATTCCTGGGCTCAAGCAATTCTCCTGCCTCAGCCTTTCAATTATCTGTGACTACAAGCATGTATCACCACACCTGGCTGGAATATTTTTAAAGTAAACTTTTTATTAAAGTATAACATACATAGAGAAACATGCACATATCACAGGCAAACAGCTTGCTGAATTTTCGTAAAGTAAACATACCTGTGTAACCATCGCCCAAATCAAGAAACAGAATATTTTCTCGCTCCTTTCCCATTGGAGACTTCCAGGGGCATCTGGACCTTCTCAATTGCAAGTGTCCAGCAAATATTTATTCAAGTAATTAATAAAGGAATACTGGCTGGTTTTCGTTTTAGTTCCATGTTGAAACTTGAACCAGCGAGCGACCCCCTCTCAGTGGACCTCCATCAGAGGCATGAAGGCTGACTCTGAATGGGAGCAGGGAGTTGTTATGGCCACCTGCAATCAATTTCTTCAAAAACAAAGTTAAAGTAGACATAGGCTTATAATTACAAATTCTTGAAGAGTCACTTTGAGTGTGAAGAAGCCAGGTAGGCAGCATTTGGCAAAGGAATGATTCTTTTTTGTACAGTCATTCTTTGGCTGCTCTTCTTTGCTTAGACCTAGTTTTATTTATTTATTTAAAAATGACAGCTTTGGCCGGGCACGGTGGCTCACGCCTGTAATCCCAGCACTTTGGGAGGCCAAGGCGGGTGGATCACGAGGTCAGGAGTTCGAGACCATCCTGGCTAACATGGTGAAACCCTGTCTTTACTAAAAATACAAAAAAATTAGCTGGGTGTGGTGGCACGCGCCTGTAGTCCCAGCTACTTGGGAGGCTGAGGCAGGAGAATGGCATGAACCTGGGAGGTGGAGCTTGCAGTGAGCCGAGATCGCGCCACTGCACTCCAGCATGGGCAACAGAGCAAGACTCCATCTCAAAAATAAAATAAAATAAAATAAAATGACAACTTTGTTGGTATAGTTCATATACCACACAATTCACCCATTTAAAGTATACACTTCAGTGGTTTTTAGTAAATTCACAGATATGTGTAACCATCATTAAAGTCATTTTTATAATTCCTTTATAAAACCTTCTACCCATTAGCAGTCACTCCCCATCCTTCCACAGCCATTTTCCCTCATTCTAGGCAATCATGAATCTATTTTTTATCTCTATAAATTTGCCTATTTTGGATATTTTATATAAATAGAATAATATGATCTTTTGTGACTAGCTTTTTTCACTTAGCATAATGTTTTCAAAGTTCATTCATGGTTTAGCATGTATCGTCACTTCATTCTTTGTATGGCTGAATATTATTCCATTCCATTTAAAATAGCTGATTTGACTGGGCATGATGGCTTATGCCTATAATTCCAGCACTTTGGGAGACTGAGGCAGGAGGATTGCCCAGGAGTTTGAGACTAGCCTGGGCAACATAGTGAGACCCCTATCTCTAAAACAGACAAACAAACAAAATAAAATTGCTGAGTTGAAGTCTTTGTCTAGTAAGTTTGCCATCTGGATTTCCTTAGGAACTGTTTCTATTGATTGCTTTATTCCCTGTGTATGGATCATATTTTCTTATTTATTTGCATGTTTCCTTTTTTGTTTAAATCTATATGTATAAAATAATATAGTGTGGCAACTTCAGAAATCAGGTTACTGATTAGCTTAAGGAAATTACCTTATACTACTAGTTTACTAGCTGTGTTTTTAAAAATCACTTGTTTGTTGTTGTTGCTTATGGTGTAGATCTTGTTGCTGTCTGTTTAATGACTTTTCTGGACTAATATTGTAGTCTGTATTCTGTGTCATGTGTGGTCACTGAAGTCTCTGCTTGGTGAGTTTAGTGGTCAGATGATGACTGGACAGAGATTCCTTATGCGTCTGAAAACAGTAAGTCTCCCAGTCTTTGCCAAGGGGCCTCCATGTGAGTGTTGGGAAACACTTTCAACACTCAGCCAGGCAAGTGACATGCCTTTCTCAGCCTTCACTTGCTTGTACAGGTCCTCAAATTCAGCCAGAGGTGAGAGCTGAGGGCCTCCTCAGGCCTTTCCTGAACATGTGCACAGCCCTGAGCATGCATGTGACCTTTTAGGTTCCTGGAAATATGTCAGAGATTTTCAAAGCCCCCATGGACATCCCATTCCCCAGCTCCTCCTTTTTGGTTAGTCTAATGTTTGCTCCAACTGTTATCCACCACCTTACGTAGTGTGAAGTTAAACATTTGTCTTTAATTGTTTTCAATGTCCCCAAGGGGAAAAAGCCTTTTCACCCTGAGAAAGTACTGAGTCAGGTTAAAAAAAATTAAAATAAAGAGAGTCTTGCAAGTGGGATCTTCCAGGGAATTACCAGACATGTCAAATAATGACAATTCTTTAGGATTGAGACTTTGAAAGTGTTCCAGCCCTGTTTTGCTCTGTCCGGTGGCTGCCAGGATGCTACTTTGCACTGTAAGTATAGGCTGTTCTTTTTCTTTTGAGGTGGAGTCTTGCTCTGTCACACAGGCTGGAATGCAGTGGCATGATCTCGGCTCACTGCAACTTCTGCTTCCCATGTTCAAGTGATTTTTCTGCCTCAGCCTCCTGAGTAGCTGGGCATGTGCCACCATGCCCAGCTAATTTTTGTATTTTTAGTAGAGATGGGGTTTCACCATGTTTGCCAGGCTGGTCTTGAACTCCTGACCTCAAGTGATCCACCCGCCTTGGCATCCCAAAGTTCTGGGATTACAGTTATGAGCCACCGTGCCTGGCCTAGGATGTTCTTTTTTTTTTTTTTTTTTTTTTTCCTTTTAGGCTGTTCTTTTTTAAGGCAATTAAGGAGCGAGGGAGTGGAAAATAGGAAGGGGCAAGTTAAAATGCCACAAAGCTTGCTGTTTTTAATGAGATTCAGTCATTTTTCTTGAATAAGTGCTCTGTTAATAATGAACTCTGATTAAATTTCAGAGTTCTAAAAAAGTTGATTCTGACCATTTTTTTCGGCCAGTTTTCTCATTGCTTTTATGGAGGAGAGAATTTTCAGAGGTCCTTATGCTCCCATTTTTGCTGATGTCACCTCTTGTATTAGTCAGTTCTCATGCTGCTAATAAAGACATACCTGAGACTGGGTAATTTATAAAGGAAAGAGGTTTAATTGACTCACAGTTCAGCATGGCTGAGGAGGCCTCAGGAAACTTACAATCATGGCAGAAGGGGAAGCAAACACATCCGTCTTCACATGGTGCCAAGAAGTGCCGAGTGAAGTGGGGAAGAGATCATCAGATCTCATGAGAACTCACTCACTATCATGAGAACAGCATGGGGGAAACCACCCCCATGTCTGTTGGGGGCTTCTGGGAATTTTTTATCATTCTTCAAAAAAGTCACAAGGAAAAAATAGTAAGTTTTCTACTTCTAGAAATGATTGTTTCTGATGTAATGCTTGGAACACCTGCAGCCATCTTGGGACCATGAGGCAACCCAGATTGACAGGTTAACATGCCGGGGCTGGCAGAATAAAAAGATGGAAGGATTCTGGGTTCTTGATGATTGTGTTGAAGTGCTTAATCAATGGCAGCCCTGGAGCTGCCATTTTTGTCATGGAAAAGAATACATGTCCTTATACACTATTTTGAGTTGGACTTTCTGTTATTTGGATCCATAAGTGTCATAACTGACACCATGAGGCTGGAGGAGTTTGGAAAATGTACATATATCTTCAGACATATTGCCATCCCCAACAACAGAGGGATTTGCCACTAAACACATATAAAGAGATAAATATGTAGATGTGTGCCTGTGTGTGCACACATTTGTGTATATATTATCTCTAGAAAGATTCTAAGAGACTGGTAACAATTCTTACCTACAGGGGCAAATTTGGAAGACAGACATACTTTTCACTGTTTGCCTATGTGTTTCAATATGTGTTGAAAGTGGTTAGGAACCTGACATTGTGGAAAATAAAATCAGCGATGGAGGGAGTGAACGCAGGAAAAGCTTCTAGGATGCCATGCAACAGGCCAAAGAGATGGAATTAATAAAAAGGAAGGATGACAATTCCTGAAGAACAAACCAGGAAGCCACCTTAAAAATGGAAAGGAAGTAACAATCGAAGGCATAAACTAATATTTTTCTGAGATGAGAAAGGATGATCAAAAGAGCTGAACTGTGTTTCAACAAAACATATTGAAAAATATAAAAAATATTAACAGAGTCTGATATTTCAATGCATCCTGGTGAAGATTTTATGTTTTGGGTAAATGGGAAAAGAAATTCAGTCTGAACTTGGATCTCTCCTTTATCAAGAAAATTGGGTGAATACTACAGCATCAATTCTTAAGTAGATTTTATGCCCATCATTGTTTTGGGAGACCGAGAGGTATGCTCTGAAAGGAAGATATCTTTTTTTTTTTTTTTTTGAGACAGAGTCTCACTCTGTCACCCAGGCTGGAGTGCAGTCTCGCAACCTCGGCTCACTGCAAGCTCCGCCGCCTGGGTTCACGCCATTCTCCTGCCTCAGCCTCCCGAGTAGCTGGGACTACAGGTGCCTGCAACCACGCCCAGCTAATTTTTTGTATTTTCAGTAGAGACGGGGTTTCACTGTGTTATCCAGGATGGTCTCGATCCCCTGACCTTGTGATCTGCCTGCCTCGGCCTCCCAAAGTGCTGGGATTACAGGTGTGAGTCACCGAGCCCTGCCTAAAGGAAGATATCTTAATCAATCAAACATGCTTGGGAAATGCTATAGGCTTCCTTTGGAAATTTACAGAGCTTGTTAACTCAGTAAAAAATGATTTATCTTTGTTTATCCATATTTTCAAATAAAGTTTTTTAATTTTAATTTTATTTTATGCAGAGATGGGGTCTCACTATGTTACCCAGGCTGGTCTCAAACCTGGGCTCAAGAGATCCTCCCACCTCAGGGTCCCAAAGTGCTGAGATTATAGGCATGAACAGTGGTGCATGCCCTTCCAAGAAAAAATTTTATACTTTTATTAATGTCCATATAAAAGTGTCTCAGAAACTGCTACTTTGGGAATTATTCAGCAGCAGAGTTCCAGGATTGTGACCCAAAAATTCTTGGCTCCACTAAGTTGTTCATATGTAAAGGTAACAGGACTTTGTATATTTATATTTAGTTATAGCCAAGATATGCAAAGTTTTAGACAATGTATAATTCTGTGCACCCCTCCTTTAAGGTTGCTGCCAACATGAGCTCTAGGGCTGAATTAGCATGCAGGGTTCTTTAGAGATGGGAATGACCAGAGGTAGTAGGGTGTGGTGGAGAGAGTACTAGGCTAGGAATCAGCAAATCGGATGTTAAACACAATGCAAAATCCATGGCCACTAGTCACGTGATTTCAGCTGGTTATCTTAACTTTTTGGATATCAATTCCAACCCCTAACAATGAGAATAATTCCTGCTTCCTTAGACTGCTGAAGGATTAAATAGGATAAAAGATATGAAATTACACTCAAAGGGATAAGACATGTATTATTTCAATTAGAGTTCCCCAAGAAGCGGACAATGAGATAAGAGTTTCAAGTACAGGTAGTTTATCTGGGAGATGATCCGAGGAAACACTGGTTGGGAGTGGGGAAGGGAGACAGAGAAGAGAAGGCAGTCAACAAAGGTGTGCTCTCAAGCAGTTACCACTGTGGGCACCTAGGGCTCTGTCCACTGCAGAACTCTGGGACCTAGCATAGAATGCACACCTTAGAGTTATCCCCATAGTGGGGTCAGGGAGGTGGGGTATCTACACATCCATTCCCATCAGTCATTGATGTGGGCTGCTGGGGGTGGGTGTTAATTCTCTGTTGCTCCTAGCCTTCCTCCAGCTCATGCAGGGAGAGCTCCAGCAGCCAAAGGGGAGCCCCTAGGAAAGGAGCTGCAGGTGCACGCAGTTGGAAGTCATGGAAATTGTTGGTTCTGATGGGATACAGGTAGAGCACTGACAGTATCTACTACTGTAACTATCCTTCAAGTTCCATTTCAGCATACTAATTATCATAATCAAAATAGTATTTGGATAGAGGTGCTTGCTTTAGTGTTTCCCCAAATCTCCTTTCCAAATACTGTCTCAAAACCTACCTTGTCCATAGGAACGGCTCCAGCCCACATTCAAGTCTAAACTCCTATGACCCAGTGGCATGGCCTCGTTTAGCCCTTCTCATACTTGTTAGTCTTGTCCTCTTTGACACTGTCTCCTGCCCCTCTCCCACCTCCCACCTAGCAAGGGATTGGGAACACACAGATGCTCAGGAAGGACTTGTTAACCTAGAGAATTAAATTTAGGATGCAACATGAGTTTTCACTCATATATATTCCCATTTCCATCCAGCAATTTCATTTTTGAGCCAGATACCTCCTGATGAGAATAATGTGTCAAGGAGGCCTGCATAAATAAAAGTCATGAATGATAGCCAAACCTCTTCTTAAAAATTAGATTCCATCTTTCCCCCCAGCAAAATGTTCAGTGGAACTGCTCACATGGAGGAAAATCAACTGGCTTGAGTTTCTCCTCTGCCACTCTGGAGCAACCCTCTTGGGACATTTATGTTTTAAAAACATATTCTTATCTCAAAATCTTCTCTATCCCCTGTTGCCAACCCCTCATACCACTGGTCCTCAGCTCCTGGGTGCTTGCCCCTTGCAGTCAAGGCCAGGGCTCCTGAAGCCTTTGTGGGTTTGGCAGGCTGTTCAGGTATTTCATTCCCACCCCACTGCCCACCGCCCCCATGCCAACCCATGTGGGGAGCTTTCAAAATTGCTTCTTAGCTGACCTTCCCAACGAAAGATAGCCCACTGGCCTGAGACCTGCTGTGAGTGAGGGGTCAAGAGAGAGACAGGCCCTCCTCTGCAAGAATATCTGTCTTCTTCTCTCTTAAGCTTGACATCTTGAAGCCATATTCACTCCTGGGAAACAACTGAGGGCCTTGATTTTTCTATTGTCATCTTTTTAAAAAAATTGGTTCATGGGAGGTGAAAGCCTTAGATAGAAAAACTCAAAACAGTGCCTAGAACAACCCACTGCACGTTCTCAAAAACACTAGTGATCTGCCTGCAGCTTAATTTTTTTGATAATACACAACAGAGCTGTCTGCATTTTTTCCCACTCAATTGAGTGACTTTTTGATGGATTTGACTGGTTGTTTTGGCATCGCGTAGGCACAAACTCGAGCTGGGGCTCCACAGAGGCGGCGAAATCAGACATGAATAATAATCATAATAAACCTTCAAAACATTTGAAAGTTTCCAAAGTGCTTTCCTGCACATTTACCTCGTTCCATCCTAAAGCGCTCTGCGACATAGACAGAATTGGTATTACGGCGCCCATTGTGCCTGTGGGGGACAGAGAGGACCAGAGATGGGTGCTGGCTTTTCCTGGCCCTGATCAGAACTAGACTCCTCATCCAGGGCTCTTTCCACACTGGGAGAGAGTGAGAGAGAGGATATCTAGTGGGGCCTGCAGGGCAGGAGGCTGGGGCAGAGACTCTTCAGAATGTTAGCTTGGGTAGGGTCAGCAGGGTTCAGGGAATCAGGTTCTGAAGAGGAAAGCAAGCAGCAGGCACTGGACACCAGCCTGCCACCAAGACCCTGATGAGATGTGTGAGCTGGCATTAGGGCTTGCAGAGCACCACATGTGAAAAGGTCTGCAGGGCACCTTACCTCGTCATCTCCTAGGGCTAGTGTCAGGCATAGCTGTGAGGTGGGCACATTTCATCTCCAGTCCCCCTTCTGGGCTCCCTGCTCTAGTGGGCTGGCCTTTCTACCAGCTCCATTGGCCCCAGGCACATCTCCTGCTCATCCTTGGCCCCAGGCTCCCTTGCTCTGGCCCACTGTTTCCATCTGCCTTATCCCCAGGGGAGCTCCCTGTCCCATCTCCCTCTTCCTGGGATCCAGCTCTCTTTGCTTGTGGATGTAACAAGCTGCTTGCCAGAGAACATCTCCCCAGGCCCCTGGGTAAAATCCATCTGTTTTTACAGGAGCCTTATCAGGATGGTACTGCCTCTCAGCTTGGCCCAAGCTGTCATCCTGAGATGTGCACTTCCCATTGACCTTTCCTTGGAGGACTTGCTCAAATCCTGCTTCCTCCAGGAAGTCTTTGTTGATTGCTCTGGTCCACGCTGATCTTGGGCTTTTATGACCTACTGAGAAGCTGGATTGATGGGGTTGTGGTCCCCTGCTTCTTCTTTATATTAATCCTCCTCCTTCCCCCTCCTCTTCTTCCTCCTTTAAGAAGTAGTAGTGGTTTCTTTGTTTGCACTTATGGCCTGTGAAAAAGAAAACACTATGCTTGACTTCCTCCCTTCCTCCCTCCTTCATTTTAACAAATGTGAGGTCCTTCATTATATTCCAATAAGAAGCTTAAATATTTTCACTTAATGAGAGATCATACTTATTTAAGCAACCAAATGACCATCTTTCCCAGTATAATTGCAAAAGATCATTAGTTAATTCTTCTTGTAGCTGCTGCTTTGTATGTCAGTCCACTGACCAGGAGTTCTGTTCCAGGAGAAGGTCTCTCCAGAGTCTCTCTGCCCATTCCCTTCAACTCCTACACACCCTTCCATCCTTAGCTGACTGCCATCTTCACCTTTTCACTCTGCCTTTTCTAGCCTAGTTTCTAGGCAAACAAATATTCTTACAGCGTTGGGTTTTTCCTGGAAAGTTCCCTTGACTTTCTTGCCTTGAATAAAATGTCACTTTTCATCAAACATAGAGCTGTGTTGGGTTCCAAGTATCAGTTTTATACCATCACTTTATAACACCCTTGAAAAAAATTCTTTCCTTGTGATACATGCCACCTGCTGTCTCTCCTCATCATTAGAAAGCACATATTTCTGGTCACTTTCCCTGTTGAGGGGTCTCAAAATTCTTGTCCCCATTGTCTCTTCACCAATATTATCCTCAAAATGTCTAACATCAAATCAACCCAACCACCCACTCCACTCCTGCACCTGCATTGCTAGGCTGTAGGAGAATATCACACAAAGGTAGGGATTCCTGCCACCAGAAGCGTCTGGTCTCCCCAGCATCTAGTTCCCTTCTACTTTTTTGGAGTGTCCCTTTCTCCACCTCTTCTCCACCCACCTTCCTGGTTTCCTTCTCCCTCTCTTCTGGCTCTGTCATACACACACAGTGGATTTCCAGTGTCCTCAAGGTTACTCCCCATGCCTCTCACTAAAATGTTGTGGGAACTGATACGCCTCTTCCTCTGGGTCTTTTCAATCTGGAGTCATGAAGTGCAGCACTAGTGATGGAGCTCCAGGCATCAGCTGGGGCAGGTTTGGGTGAGGTTGTGAGTTCATCTGGGAGCTCCTGAAATTTATAAATGGGGGGTTCGGGTTTGTGACATGTGGCACTGAATTGACTACCTTTCTGTCATTTTGACATATCTTGTTTTCAGCTCTCATCTTCCAGTGGACATGGAGCATATTTCTCATCTTGGAAGGAATATCTAAATGGGGTGCTGTTGAGTGAGGTGGGAGATGGGAGAAGGGAGCAGACATGGGCAGAGGAGCGGCTGCTGCTCCCGCTCAAGCTCCCTGCACAGGCTTCCTCCAGGGGCCTGGAGGAGACATATCCCCTAGATGTCTCCTCTGTTTGGGGGTGGGGGCCCCTCCTGGTTTCCTCCCATGGTGGCCCCCATGATCCTAGGCTACAGATGCCCTTCCTGTCTTCCACACACTCAGGGTGGCACAGGCGGCTGCTGTGAGGTCAGCACTGGGTGCCCAGTTAGGAAGCTGAGGATGGACATCGCTGGCCACCATAATCCAACTCAGAGCACAAGCTCCAGTGTGCTTGGGGATGTGTCCTTGTCCCTCTGGGGATCATGGGAGTTCTAGGCCCTCCCCACCCCATCCTACTCCAATTTCCCTTTGAAGGGCCTGACAAAGGCAGGGTCCCCCTCCCTTCACCCTTCTGTACAAATGTGAATCATATTTCATTTTATGGCATTTTCTTTCAGTGAAAAACACATAGTTTGACCAATTAAAGCCTCTTTTGGACCAAGCCCCTGACAGAACTGGAGAGGCAACTGAAAAGGACGTCCTGTTCCTATGGTTTTTTGTCTCTCTCTCTCTCTCTCTCTCTCTCCTGTTTTTTTTTTCCCTTGGTCACAGTTCAGATTTAGAGGGAAGCAGTGATGGGAATAAACTGTGACCACTCTGGCCTCTTGGCGGCTGTAGGGATCCAGCTCCTGCTAGGCCAGAGAGACAGAAATGTACTTGGAGAGCTCTGAGTGAGCTCCCAGGCTGGGAGAGGAAGGAGGGAAAGGGGCTGTCTTCTTGGGAGTCCCATAGTGGATGTGAGGGGAAGAGCCCACTCAGGGGAGAGCAGAGAGGGCAGGAGGGAGAGGCCAGCGTGGTCAGGGGCACCCCTCACATGCTGGCCCTACTTCAGGCACGTGTCAAACCTGGTGGAAGGAGATGCTGCAGGTATGATGTTAAGCAGCATCATGATAGTGCTGTGGGCAGGGCCACCTGCACCATCCTGTCAGCCCTGCAGACAGTGGTTTAGTGGGTCCTGAAGGTGAGGCTGGGGCAGAAGAGGAAAAACAAGCTGGATGTGATGTGGCAAAGGTAGCTGATGGGTTATCTTCTGAGACCCTCTGGGAACTCTCAGAATCACTGAGCAAGCAAAGAGGAGGTGTCTTTCGTGAGCAGCACCAGCAATATGCACATTCTTACCGCCAAGGTGACCCTACTTGTACCACCAGAAAGGCTGGAAAGACCTGGGGAAATTGGATCATGGGAGAGTGGAAGGAAGGAATAAAAGTAAATTTGTTGGACGTTTATGTACCTGGCATTGTGTCAGGTCTGAATTAGGACAGCGGCTTCAGAGGTGGAGAGAAGTGAATGGTCCCAGGGCTAGTCAGGAAGTTGAATGGAGATGACATGATCAATGTCAGAGTGATGCAATGGCCACATTTTTTAGCTTGTGCAATTGGTACAGGACCCTTGCTCTCAGATCCTGCTACTGATATGAGGAACCTGTAGCAGAGAAAGACACAAAAGTGAGCCCTCTTCCCATGAGATTCCAGCCTAGGAGGGAAGACGTGAACTAAAAGTGACAAGTGTGGTGTATGGTACTGAGTGGTGAGGAAGAGGCCCCTAAGGTGGGTTAGGGCATCTGGCTAAGTTCTTGGAAGGTTCTAACTAGTGCAGGGTCTCTAGGGACACCAAAGAACCCAGATAGGAGGGAGGTTTGAGACAGGGGGAGAAAAGCAGGACTTGGAGCTATTCTTTCACAGTTGGCAGGGTCGCTGAGTGGGCATTGCTGACTGAAGGCTGAAGCACTTTACTCAGACAGTGGAGGAGTTGGGTTGCAGGTTTGGACATGCTGAGTCAGGTTCCTGGGAGACTATGTGCTGATGTCCAGTGAGTGGTGGGTTGCCAGATAGATAAATGTGGTGTTCATCAGAGGACTCATGGCTGCATATTCAGGTTTGGATCCTTTAATATATCTGTGGGAGTTGAGGTCATGGGATAGGGCTGTCCAGTGAAACGAATGAGTCCTGGAAATGGCTGACCTTTCTTACTTCCCCCCGCCCCTCAACCTATTTCTCTCTTTCTCTCTTTGATAAAGCAGTACAAGCCTAATTAACAAACTTGGGATGATAAAAGATGCACATAATTAATATTCACACAATACAAAAGAGTATACAGTGAACAGTGAGTTCCCCTCTCCCTCCCAATCCCTACAAACCCCATCCCCAGAGATACATCAGTTTCTTATGTGTTCTTTTAGAGATATTCTATGTCTATGAAGCAATATATATATGTTAGCACACTTCATTTACCTTTCTATGTCTTTCTTCTAAAATTTCGCTAAATATCTTGGTGATCATTCCTTATTAGTACTAAAAATCCACCTCATTCTTTTATATAGCTGGGTAATATTAACATAATGTCACATGATATACATGCCCCATAATTTAATTAACCAGTTCTCTACAGGTAGGAATTCAGTCTGTTTTCAGGCTTTTGCTATATAGACAACACCATAAAAATATTCGTGTGCATACAAACATTTAGGGATTGATTTTGGCTGCATGTAACAGAAAAATCAAACAACAGAAAATATTTGGTTTTTTTCTCCCTCATATAATAAGAAATCTAGCTTAGGCAAAACTGACATGGTTTAGTGGCTCAGTAGTGTCACAGTGAGTTCTCATGCCTCTTTTCCATGGTTACAAGATGGTTGCTGAAGCTCCAGCCATCACATCCATATTCCAGGCAGGAGATGGGAGGGAAGACAGTAAGAGGGAGAAGAGTTCATCACAAGCTAAGTCTGTTATATCCTTTTAAGATTTTCTGGAAGCTTTCCAAATAATTTTTGCTTGCATCTCATTGACCAGACCTGTGTCAAGCAACTGTTCCTATCTCAAGGGAGGCTTGGAGATGCCTTTTAGTTGGGTTCATGGTTTTTGCCAACAAAATCAGGTTTTGTTGTAAAGGAGAGAATGGACACTCGGTAGATGTCTAGTAGATTTTATCTCTAGTACAAATTTTTATAAATGGAATTGCTGGATTAAATACTCTCAGACATTTAAAATTTTGACTGTGCCAAATTGTCATCTAAAGGGGTTGTGCCAGGGCATCTCTACAGTGCATGAATATGTCTGTTTCCCTACATCACTGCCTACAGACTGCTGCCAAACTCTTCATGGTTTGCTAATCCATTGGGTGAAAAATGATTTCACATTGTTTTAATTTGCATTCCACTATTTTGAGTGAGGTTGAGCATCTTTTCATATGATTAAAAACATTGGCATTTAAAGGGTAATTGCAGAAAAAATTCCAGGAGAGGGAAGGAGAAAATGAGAGAATGACAAAGAAGGGGATGAAGGAGCTTCAAAGACAAGAAGAGGATGTGAGGGACTCTGGCAGATGTGCAAAGAGGTAAGATGAGGAGAAAGGAGTGCCCACTGGGTTTGGCAATGTGGAGGCCACTTGGGACTCGGTGTTGGAGTAGAAACCAAGTGAACCTCTTCTCCTGAGAAGTATTATTTTTTTCTGTTATTTAAATGGGTAAATGAATCCAGAGGGGTTAAATAACTGCTCAAGGTCACAGAGCTTGTAATGGAGGAGGCGGAATTTGAATCCAGGTGTGTCGGACCCCCAGATACTCTGAAAGTGAATCCCACAGAGGCTGTGATGGAGGGAGAATGTTTGGAACTACTTTATTTTATTTTATTTTATTATTATTACACTTTAAGTTTTAGGTACATGTGCACAATGTGCAGGTTAGTTACATATGTATACATGTGCCATGCTGGTGTGCTGCACCCATTAACTCGTCATTTAGCATTAGGTATATCTCCTAATGCTATCCCTCCCCCCTCCCCCAGTCCCCAGAGTGTGATGTTCCCCTTCCTGTGTCCATGTGTTCTCACTGTTCAATTCCCACCTATGAGTGAGAACATGCGGTGCTTGGTTTTTTGTCCATGCGATAGTTTACTGAGAATGATGATTTCCAATTTCATCCATGTCCCTACAAAGGACATGAACTCATCATTTCTTATGGCTGCATAGTATTCCATGGTGTATATGTGCCACATTTTCTTAATCCAGTCTATCATTGTTGGACATTTGGGTTGGTTCCAAGTCTTTGCTATTGTGAATAGTGCCGCTATAAACATACGTGTGCACGTGTCTTTATAGCAGCATGATTTATAATCCTTTGGGTATATACCCAGTAATGGGATGGCTGGGTCAAATGGTATTTCTAGTTCTAGATCCCTGAGGAATCGCCACACTGACTTCCACAAGGGTTGAACTAGTTTACAGTCCCACCAACAGTGTAAAAGTGTTCCTATTTCTCCACATCCTCTCCAGCACCTGTTTTTTCCTGACTTTTTAATGATTGCCATTCTAACTGGTGTGAGATGGTATCTCATTGTGGTTTTGATTTGCATTTCTCTGATGGCCAGTGATGGTGAGCATTTTTTCATGTGTTTTTTGGCTGCATAAGTGTCTTCTTTTGAGAAGTGTCTGTTTATGTCCTTTGCCCACTTTTTGATGGGGTTGTTTGTTTTTTTCTTGTAAATTTGTTTGAGTTCTTTGTAGATTCTGGATATTAGCCCTTTGTCAGATGAGTAGGTTGCGAAAATTTTCTCCCATTTTGTAGGGTGTCTGTTCACTCTGATAGTAGTTTCTTTTGCTGTGCGGAAGTGCTTTAGTTTAATTATATCCCATTTGTCAATTTTGGCTTTTGTTGCCATTGCTTTTGGTGTTTTAGACATGAAGTCCTTGCCCATGCCTATGTCCTGAATGGTAATGCCTAGGTTTTCTTCTAGGGTTTTTATGGTTTTAGGTCTAACGTTTAAGTCTTTAATCCATCTTGAATTAATTTTTGTGTAAGGTGTAAGGAAGGGATCCAGTTTCAGCTTTCTCCATATGGCTAGCCAGTTTTCCCAGCACCATTTATTAAATAGGGAATCCTTTCCCCATTGCTTGTTTTTCTCAGGTTTGTCAAAGATCAGATAGTTGTAGATATGTGGTGTTATTTGTGAGGGCTCTGTTCTGTTCCATTGATCTATATCTCTGTTTTGGTACCAGTACCATGCTGTTTTGGTCACTGTAGCCTTGTAGTATAGTTTGAAGTCAGGTAGCGTGATGCCTCCAGCTTTGTTCTTTTGGCTTAGGATTGACTTGGCGATGCAGGCTCTTTTTTGGTTCCATATGAACTTTAAAATACTTTTTTCCAATTCTATGAAGAAAGTCATTGGTAGCTTGATGGGGATGGCATTGAATCTATAAATTACCTTGGGCAGTATGGCCATTTTCATGATATTGATTCTTCCTACCTAGGAGCATGGAATGTTCTTCCATTTGTTTGTATCCTCTTTTATTTCCTTGAGCAGTGGTTTGTAGTTCTCCTTGAAGAGGTCCTTCACGTCCCTTGTAAGTTGGATTCCTAGGTATTTTATTCTCTTTGAAGCAATTGTGAATGGGAGTTCACTCATGATTTGGCACTCTGTTTGTCTGTTATTGGTGTATAAGAATGCTTGTGATTTTTGTACATTGATTTTGTATCCTGAGACTTTGCTGAAGTTGCTTATCAGCTTAAGGAGATTTTGGGCTGAGACGATGGGGTTTTCTAGATATACAATTATGTCATCTGCAAACAGGGACAATGTGACTTCCTCTTTTCCTAATTGAATACCCTTTATTTCCTTCTCCTGCCTAATTTCCCTGGCCAGAACTTCCAACACCATGTTGAATAGGAGTGGTGAGAGAGGGCATCCCTGTCTTGTGCCAGTTTTCAAAGGGAATGCGTCCAGTTTTTGCCCATTCAGTATGATATTGGCTGTGGGTTTGTCATAGATAGCTCTTTTTATTTTGAGATACATCCCATCAATACCTAATTTATTGAGAGTTTTTAGCATGAAGTGTTGTTGAATTTTATCAAAGGCCTTTTCTGCATCTATTGAGATAATCATGTGGTTTTTGTCTTTGGTTCTGTTTATATGCTGGATTACATTAATTGATTTGCATATATTGAATCAGCCTTGCATCCCAGGGATGAGGCCCACTTGATCATGGTGGATAAGCTTTTTGATGTGCTGCCGGATTCGGTTTGCCAGTATTTTATTGAGGATTTTTGCATCGATGTTCATCAAGGATATTGGTCTAAAATTCTCTTTTTTGGTTGTGTCTCTGCCCGGCTTTGGTATCAGGATGATGCTGGCCTCATAAAATGAGTTAGGGAGGATTCTCTCTTTTTCTATTGATTGGAATAGTTTCAGAAGGAATGGTACCAGTTCCTCCTTGTACCTCTGGTAGAATTCGGCTGTGAATCCAGCTGGTCCTGGACTCTTTTTGGTTGGTAAGCTATTGATTATTGCCACAATGTCAGAGCCTGTTATTGGTCTATTCAGAGATTCAACTTCTTCCTGGTTTAGTCTTGGGAGGGTGTATGTGTCGAGGAATTTATCCATTTCTTCTAGATTTTCTATTTTATTTGCATAGAGGTGTTTGTAGTATTCTCTGATGGTAGTTTGTACTTCTGTGGGATTGGTGGTGATATCCCCTTTATCATTTTTTATTGTGTCTATTTGATTCTTCTCTCTTTTCTTCTTTATTAGTCTTGCTAGCGGTCTATCTATTTTGTTGATCCTTTCAAAAAACCAGCTCCTGGATTCATTAATTTTTTGAAGGCTTTTTTGTGTCTCTATTTCCTTCAGTTCTGCCCTGATTTTAGTTATTTCTTGCCTTCTGCTAGCTTTTGAATGTGTTTGCTCTTGCTTTTCTAGTTCTTTTAATTGTGATGTTAGGGTGTCAATTTTGGATCTTTCCTGCTTTCTCTTGTGGGCATTTAGTGCTATAAATTTCCCTCTACACACTGCTTTGAATGTGTCCCAGAGATTCTGGTATGTTGTGTCTTTGTTCTCGTTGGTTTCAAAGAACATCTTTATTTCTGCCTTCATTTCGTTATGTACCCAGTAGTCATTCAGGAGCAGGTTGTTCAGTTTCCATGTAGTTGAGTGGTTTTGAGTGAGTTTCTTAATCCTGAGTTCTAGTTTGATTGCACTGTGGTCTGAGAGACAGTTTGTTATAATTTCTGTTCTTTTACATTTGCTGAGGAGAGCTTTACTTCCAACTATGTGGTCAATTTTGGAATATGTGTGGTATGGTGCTGAAAAAAATGTATATTCTGTTGATTTGGGGTAGAGAGTTCTGTAGATGTCTATTAGGTCTGCTTGGTGCAGAGCTGAGTTCAATTCCTGGGTATCCTTGTTAACTTTCTGTCTCGTTGATCTGTCTAATGTTGACAGTGGGGTGTTAAAGTCTCCCATTATTATTGTGTGGGAGTCTAAATCTCTTTGTAGGTCACTCAGGACTTGCTTTATGAATCTGGGTGCTCCTGTATTGGGTGCATATATATTTAGGATAGTTAGCTCTTCTTGTTGAATTGATCCCTTTCCCATTATGTAATGGCCTCTTTGTCTCTTGATCTTTGTTGGTTTAAAGTCTGTTTTATCAGAGACTAGGATTGCCACCCCTGCCTTTTTTTGTTTTCCATTTGCTTGGTAGATCTTCCTCCATCCTTTTATTTTGAGCCTATGTGTGTCTCTGCATGTGAGATGGGTTTCCTGAATACAGCACACTGATGGTTCTTGACTTTTTATCCAATTTACCAGTCTGTGTCTTTTAATTGGAGCATTTAGTCCATTTACATTTAAAGTTAATATTGTTATGTGTGAATTTGATCCTGTCATTATGATGTTAGCTGGTTATTTTGCTCGTTAGTTGATGCAGTTTCTTCCTAGCCTCGATGGTCTTTACAATTTGGCATGATTTTGCAGTGGCTGGTACCGGTTGTTCCTTTCCATGTTTAGTGCTTCCTTCAGGAGCTCTTTTAGGGCAGGCCTGGTGGTGACAAAATCTCTCAGCATTTGCTTGTCTGTAAAGTATTTTATTTCTCCTTCACTTACGAAACTTAGTTTGGCTGGATATGAAATTCTGGGTTGACAATTCTTTTCTTTAAGAATGTTGAATATTGGCCCCCACTCTCTTCTGGCTTGTAGAGTTTCTGCCAAGAGATACGCTGTTAGTCTGATGGGCTTCCCTTTGTGGGTAACCCAACCTTTCTCTCTGGCTGCCCTTAACATTTTTTCCTTCATTTCAACTGTAGTGAATCTGACAATTATGTGTCTTGGAGTTGCTCTTCTTGAGGAGTATCTTTATGGCATTCTCTGTATTTCCTGAATCTGAATGTTGGCCTGCCTTGCCAGATTGGGGAAGTTCTCCTGGATAATATCCTGCAGAGTGTTTGCCAACTTGGTTCCATTCTCCCCGTCACTTTCAGGTACACCAATCAGACGTAGATTTGGTCTTTTCACATAGTCCCATATTTCTTGGAGGCTTTGTTCTTTTCTTTTTATTATTTTTTCTCTAAACTTCCCTTCTCACTTCATTTCATTCATTTCATCTTCCATCACTGATACCCTTTCTTCCAGTTGATCACATCGGCTCCTGATGAGGCTTCTGCATTCTTCACATAGTTCTTGAGCCTTGGCTTTCAGCTCCATCAGCTCCTTTAAGCACTTCTGTGTATTGGTTATTCTAGTTATACATTCATCTAAATTTTTTTCAAAGTTTTTAACTTCTTTGCCTTTGGTTTGAATTTCCTCCTGTAGCTCAGAGTCGTTTGAGCGTCTGAAGCCTCCTCTCAACTCGTCAAAGTCATTCTCCATCCAGCTTTGTTCCGTTGCTGGTGAGGAACTGCATTCCTTTGGAGGAGGAGAGGCGCTCTGCTTTTTAGAGTTTCCAGTTTTTCTGCTCTGTTTTTTCCCCATCTTTGTGGTTTTATCTACTTTTGGTCTTTGATGATGGTGATGTACAGATGAGTTTTTGGTGTGGATGTCCTTTCTGTTTGTTAGTTTTCCTTCTAACAGACAGGACCCTCAGCTGCAGGTCTGTTGGAGTTTGCTAGAGGTCCACTCCTGACCGTTTACCTGGGTAACAGCAGCGGTGGCTGCAGAACAGTGGATTTTCGTGAACCACGAATGTTGCTGTCTGATCATTCCTCTGGAAGTTTTGTCTCAGAGGAGTACCCGGCCATGTGAGGTGTCAGTCTGCCCCTACTGGGGGGTGCCTCCCAGTTAGGCTGCTCGGGGGTCAGGGGTCAGGGACCCACTTGAGGAGGCAGTCTGCCCGTTCTCAGATCTCCAGCTGCGTGCTGGGAGAACCACTGCTCTCTTCCAAGCTGTCAGACAGGGACATTTAAGTCTGCAGAGGTTACTGCTGTCTTTTTGTTTGTCTGTGCCCTGCCCCCAGAGGTGGAGCCTACAGAGGCAGGCAGGCCTCCTTGAGCTGTGGTGGGCTCCACCCAGTTCGAGCTTCCTGGCTGCTTTGTTTACCTAAGCAAGCCTGGGCAATGGCGGGCACCCCTCCCCCAGCCTCACTGCCGCCTTGCAGTTTGATCTCAGACTGCTGTGCTAGCAATCAGCGAGACTCCGTGGGCGTAGGACCCTCCAAGCCATGTGCGGGATATAATCTCCTGGTGTGCTGTTTTTTAAGCCCGTGGGAAAAGTGCAGTATTAGGGTGGGAGTGACCCGATTTTCCAAGTGCTGTCTGTCACCCCTTTCTTTGACTAGGAAAGGGAACTCCCTGACCCCTTGTGCTTCCCGAGTGAGGCAATGCCTCACCCTGCTTCGGCTCGTGCACGGTGCGCTGCACCCACTGTCCTGTGCCCACTGTCTGGCACCCCCTAGTGAGATGAACCCGGTACCTCAGATGGAAATGCAGAAATCACCCGTCTTCTGCGTCGCTCACGCTGGGAGCTGTAGACCGGAGCTGTTCCTATTTGGCCATCTTGGCTGCCCTCCCTCGGAAGTACTTTCTTGGAGACCTGGAAAGGGCCTTTCAGTTTATGGATCCCCTGACTCACTTTACAAATGAGGGAGCAGAGTTCCATTAAAGTGAAGAGACTTGCTAGAAAGAGTGGGAGCCCAGCAAGAGCCCCAGATCCTGCCCGTTCAGCGCGTTTTGTGAGATCACTTCTTTCTCCAGCAGGGGACGCCAGTCAGTAGCTGGGGCTAAGTTAAAAAAAAAAAAAAATCACCTGAGGCGGTCAGCACCACGCACAGGGCAACCCACCTGGGCCCTAGTGGAAGCCCCAGCCTCCAGAAGGAGGAGACCTGGACCCAGGTCTTGATGTACTTATGTACTCAAAAAAGACAGGGCTATTGTTAAATTTTGGGTCCACTTGGTAGTCCTTTGGAAGTGATATAGGAGCTTAAAGCAGACCAGAGAATTGCTTTTCCATCTTCTCTGGTGGCAGAACTTCTAAGTTGCCCCACCTGAGGTCACTAACATAAGTTATTATCTATCCTTGGCTCTCAGTAAAGCCAACTAGATGGCCAAACCCCTAGTGTGTTGACAGTTCATTCGCCCATTCATTTGAAATATTTTTACAATTAGGCTTAAATTAATTTATTGTAATTCTAACAAAACATGGGCTAGCACCCAGATAAACCCTGTTGAGGAGTTTGTTTAGAGTGGCAAAGTGCCCAGGCTCTGAAGACAAATCATGATTGGTTAAGCCAATCATGGTAATGGATTCCTTTTTTTTTTTTTCCTAATACTTTCCCAGAAACTCTTGCAGCTAGATGGCGGTGGGGGTGGTCAAGAACACAGTTCTGACCAATGAAATGAAAGAGATGGGCATGTGAAGAGTGGTCATTGGTATTAGATCTTCCACCTTTTTTTTTTTTTTTTGAGACGGAGTCTCACTCTGTCGCCCAGGCTGGAGTGCAGTGGCATGATCTCGGCTCACTGCAAGCTCCACCTCCTGGATTCACGCCATTCTCCTGCCTCAGCCTCCTGAGTAGCTGGGACTACAGGCGCCTGCCACCTCGCCCAGCTAATTTTTTGTATTTTTAGTAGAGATGGGGTTTCACTGTGTTATCCAGGATGGTCTCGATCTGCTGACCTCGTGATCCACCTGCCTCGGCCTCCCAAAGTGCTGGGACTACAGGCATGAGCCACCGTGCCCGGCCCCACCTTTTTCTTTCCTTGAATATGGATATGGTGCCTGCAGTAGAGGCAGCCATCTTATAAGAGCATGTGATCCTCTGAGCAGGTCGTGGATTTAGAACAGACCCTCTACTCCTCTAGTTCCTCCCCTACCCTGCCTGCCCTAATGCTGGAAACCTCCCACAGACTGTCATTGCCCCGGGTTATGACATTTTTTGGTATCTTTGAACCTCCAAAGAGTGTCTGTGTCTAAAAGGAACCGGAAGACGATCATGAGCAGAAAGATAGGTCCTTGATGATTTCGTTACCAATGTTCCCAATCTCTAAGTTTCTTGTTATGAGAGATGATTAAATATCTTTATTGTTTAAGCCACTGTTACTGAGGTGTCTTGAGTGTTTGTAGATAAAACGATTTCTGTTATACTCTTGGGGTTTTTATTTATATGAAGTCTCACTCATTTTTCAGTGAATTGTATTCTTTAATATATCTTGGAGATTTATTTATATCATTACTTAGAAGTCTGCCTAATTCTTTTCTTTTTTGCAGGCATATAGTATTCCGTTACAATACATGTACCACAATTTATTGCCCACTTCCTTATTAGTTAAAATTTGAATTGCTTCTGTTTTTTTTTTGCTACCACAAAGCAGAGCTGTCATCAACATTTTGAACATATATATCAGATACTTCTTGTCAGTATGTGTGGAGGTTAAATTGCTAACTGTGGAACTGCTGGATCTAATGCTGTATAAATTATAAAACTTAGTGGTGTTGCCAAATTATCTTCCAGAAGGATTCTATCAATATATATATATTCACTAATAGTGCACAGATGCCTATTTCCCTAGACTGTCGTTGCAATGGCTCCTATTAACTATTTATATTCCTGATAGTACAATTAGTTTTTGGAAAGGTATCTTCTTGTTTTAATTTGCATTGATTTATTTATTATTAAGGAGGTCTTATGTATACAGGACATTTGCATTATAACCTTCTGTTCTTACCCTCTTCTCCATTTTTTCCCCCATAGAATTGGTAGTCTCCTTCAGCTTTGTGCAGGTTTTTTTTGTGAATTTGGAAGGTTAATCCTTTGACATATGTGTTGCAAATTTTACCACCCCTGTTTCCTGTTCATCTTTTGGCTTTCTTAGTAGTATTTCTCATCCCTCAAAAGGACTTAATTTTTTTATTATACTTTAAGTTTTAGGGTTCATGTGCACAACGTGCAGGTTTATTACATATGTATACATGTGCCATGTTGGTGTGCTGCACCCATTAACTCGTCATTTACATTAGGTATATCTCCTAATGCTATCCTTCCCCCCTCCCCCCACCCCACAACAGGCCCCAGTGTGTGATATTCTCCTTCCTGTGTCCATGTGTTCTCATTGTTCAATTCCCACCTATGAGTGAGAACATGCGGTGCTTGGTTTTTTGTCCTTGCGATAGTTTGCTGAGAATGATGATTTCCAGCCTCATCCATGTCCCTACAAAGGACATGAACTCATCATTTTTTATGGCTGCATAGTATTCCATGGTGTATATGTGCCACATTTTCTTAATCCAGTCTATCATTGTTGGACATTTGGGTTGGTTCCAAGTCTTTGCTATTGTGAATAGTGCGGCTATAAACATACGTGTGCATGTGTCTTTATAGCAGCATGATTTATAATCCTTTGGGTATATACCCAGTAATGGGATGGCTGGGTCAAATGGTATTTCTAGTTCTAGATCCCTGAGGAATCGCCACACTGACTTCCACAAGGGTTGAACTAGTACAGTCCCACCAACAGTGTAAAAGTGTTCCTATTTCTCCACATCCTCTCCAGCACCTGTTGTTTCCTGACTTTTTAATGATAGCCATTCTAACTGGTGTGAGATGGTATCTCATTGTGGTTTTGATTTGCATTTCTCTGATGGCCAGTGATGATGAACATTTTTTCATGTGTCTGTTGGCTGCATAAATGTCTTCTTTTGAGAAGTGTCTGTTCATATCCTTTGTCCACTTTTTGATGGGATCATTTGTTTTTTTTCTTGTAAATTTGTTTGAGTTCATTGTAGATTCTGGATATTAGCCCTTTGTCAGATGAGTAGATTGCAAAAATTTTCTCCCATTCTGTAGGTTGCCTGTCCACTCTGATGGTAGTTTCTTTTGCTGTGCAGAAGCTCTTTAGTTTAATTAGATCCCATCGGTCAATTTTGGCTTTTGTTGCCATTGCTTCTGGTGTTTTAGACATGAAGTCCTTGCCCACGCCTATGTCCTGAATGGTATTGCCTAGGTTTTCTTCTAGGGTTTTTATGGTTTTAGGTCTAACATTTAAGTCTTTAATCCATCTTGAATTAATTTTTGTATAAGGTGTAAGGAAGGGATCCAGTTTCAGCTTTCTACATATGGCTAGCCAGTTTTCCCAGCACCATTTATTAAATAGGGAATCCTTTCCTCATTTCTTGTTTTTGTCAGATTTGTCAAAGATCAGATAGTTGTAGATGTGTGGCATTATTTCTGAGGGCTCTGTTCTGTTCCATTGGTCTATATCTCTGTTTTGGTACCAGTACCATGCTGTTTTGGTTGCTGTAGCATTGTAGTATAGTTTGAAGTCAGGTAGTGTGATGCCTCCAGATTTGTTCTTTTGGCTTAGGGTTGACTTGGCAATGCAGGCTCTTTTTTGGTTCCATATGAACTTTAAAGTAGTTTTTTCCAATTCTATGAAGAAAGTCATTGGTAGCTTGATGGGGATGGCATTGAATCTATAAATTACCTTGGGCAGTATGGCCATTTTCACGATATTGATTCTTCCTACTCATGAGCATGGAATGTTCTTCCATTTGTTTGTATCCTCTTTTATTTCCTTGAGCAGTGGTTTGTTGTTCTCCTTGAAGAAGTCCTTCACATCCCTTGTAAGTTGGATTCCTAGGTATTTTATTCTCTTTGAATCAATTGTGAATGGGAGTTCACTCATAATTTGGCTCTCTGTTTGTCTGTTATTGGTGTATAAGAATGCTTGTGATTTTTGTACATTGATTTTGTATCCTGAGAGTTTGCTGAAGTTGCTTATCAGCTTAAGGAGATTTTGGGCTGAGACGATGGGGTTTTCTAAATATACAATCATGTCGTCTGCAAACAGGGACAATGTGACTTCCTCTTTTCCTAATTGAATACCCTTTATTTCCTTCTCCTGCCTAATTGCCCTGGCCAGAACTTCCAACACTATGTTGAATAGGAGTGGTGAGAGAGGGCATCCCTGTCTTGTGCCAGTTTTCAAAGGGAATGCTTCCAGTTTTTGCCCATTCAGTATGATATTGGCTGTGGGTTTGTCATAGATAGCTCTTATTATTTTGAGATACATCCCATCAATACCTAATTTATTGAGAGTTTTTAGCATGAAGGGCTGTTGAATTTTATCAAAGGCCTTTTCTGCATCTATTGAGATAATCATGTGGTTTTTGTCTTTGGTTCTGTTTATATGCTGGATTACGTTTATTGATTTGCATATGTTGAACCAGCCTTGTATCCCAGGGATGAAGCCCACTTGATTATGGTGGATAAGCTTTTTACTGTGTTGCTGGATTCGGTTTGCCAGTATTTTATTGAGGATTTTTGCATCGATGCTTATCAAGGATATTGGTCTAAAATCCTCTTTTTTGGTTGTGTCTCTGCCAGGCTTTGGTATCAGGATGATGCTGGCCTCATAAAATGAGTTAGGGAGGATTCCCTCTTTTTCTATTGATTGGAATAGTTTCAGAAGGAATGGTACCAGCTCCTCTAAAAGGACTTAATTTTTATGTGGTTGTAGGTATCAATTATTTCCTTATGGCTTCTGGGTTTTTTATCTTAGAAAGGACTTTGCCCTCCAGGATTACAAATACATTTACCAATTCTTCCCTTCTCATACTTTTATGGTTTTTAAATTCCACTTAAACATTTGCTTCTAATTGATTTTATCTTGTGTAAGGAGTAAGATAAGATTTACTTTATATTTTTTTCCAAATAGGCCCCTCTGCTGCTGGCTCTGAGAAACTGGATTTGCACCTGGGGGCCTGGATAAGTCATGATCATCTTCCTGTTCCTGTTAGACACAGACACTCTTTGGAGATTTGAAGATACCAGAAAATGTCATAACCTGGGGGAATGACAGTGTGTGTGGGGTTTCCAGCACTAGGGCAGGCACGGTAGGAGAGGAAATTGGGGAGTAGAGGGTCTGTTCTAAATCCATGACCTTCAGGATGATGATGTTTTGAAGAGTCTGCTCTGAAAACTGATTGTCGGTGCCCAGACACCAGGGACTCCGAGGATTTCCTTCTCGTCAAAGGCTGGCCAGAACTGTCAGAAAGGAATCATCAGACAACTTCCAGGGGCTCCTGTAAAGCTCTTTATGACAGGTTCAATTGTGGCCTTCCTTCCCCAGGTGTCCAGCAACGACTCTTTCAACTGCATCCTGACCTGGCTCTCTCCTGTCCTCCTAGCTCCTCAGTCAGTTACTTCCTTCCTGGCCCTGGGCTTCCCCAGGTCCTCATGCTGTGCCTGTCCCACCCGCAGAGCCTTCCCACTAAAAATCCCAAGATAGGGATTTTCCTCCCTGATCAGGAGTGGGTTGGAGGGAGATGCCAGAGTTCTTGGCACAAAGGAAATTGGGGTTATCCATGGATGTATATAGCAAATGCTGTATGAGGAGTGTAGATTTTGCAGATGGACTTGCTTTAAAACCATCTTTAAGATTATTTGAGAGGCTAAAATAAAAGACAGTGAAAATACTAGTGTTAGCAAAGGTGTGGAGCAACCAGACCTCTCATATGTAGCTCATAGGAGCATACAGCTACGTTGGAAAACTACACAGGAAAACTGGCAGTGTCTACAAAAACTACACAGACCCCTACCTCATGATGCAGCAACTCCACTCCTGGGAGTACATGCCCAGGACATGAATATGTATGTTCAATAAAAACATGTTCTAGAGATGTTGATAGCAGCAATATATGCAATAGTCCCAAACTGTAAATGATTGAATGCATATTGATAAGAGAACAAATAAATAACTTGTTGTAGGGTCATACAGTGGAATACAATTCAGTAGTAAGAAAAGAACAAACTAGTATTATCATGTTATGGGCTGAATCGTGTCCCTCTTCCAAATTCATACGTTAAAGCCCTAACTGCTAGTATGTCAGAATACAACTGTATTTGGAGATAGGGTCTTTAAATATGTAATTAAATTACATGAGGTCATTAGGGCAGGCACTAATCCAGTATGACTGGTATCCTGCTAAGAAGAAGTGCTTAGGGCACAGACACACAAAGGGAAGACCATGTGAAGATACAGGGAGAAGGCGGCCATCTACAAGCCAAAGAAAGAGGCCCCAGAAGAAATGCAATCTACCAAAAGTTCAGAGCTTTGGTCTCCAGAACTGTGGGGAAATAAATTTCTGTTGTTTAAGCCACCCCGTCTATGGTGCTTTGTTATGGCAGCCTGAACAAACAAATATAATATGCAGCAATATGGATGAATCTCGTAGACACTATGTAGAGTGAAAAGAATCCCAGCACTTTGGGAGGTTGAGGCAGGTGGATCACCTGAGGTCAGGGGTTCAAGACCATCCTGGCCAACATGGTGAAAACCCGTCTCTACTAAAAATACGAAAATTAGCTTGGTGTGGTGGTGCACACCTATAATCACAGCTACTTGGGAGGCTGAGGGAGGAGAATCACTGGAACCCGGGAGGCGGAGGTTGCAGTAAGCAGAGATCATGCCACTGCACTCCAACCTGGATGATAGAGTGAGACTCCATCTCAAAACAAAAACAAACAAACAAACAAACAAACACAAACCAAAAACACACACACACATACTGCAGGATTCCATTTATATGACATTTAAGAGCTGGCAAAGCTAATTTCGTTAGCCTTGGGGGATGAGTATTGACTGGGAAGGGGCACAGGGGAGCCTTCTGGGGTACTGGAAATGTTTTATGTCTTGATTTGGGTGGGAATTATATGGTTATGCACCTATGTAAAAATGCATCAAGCTGCACACACAAAATTCTTGAGATTTTTGCATTTTATTGTTTGTAAGATATACCTAATGAAAGTGTAACAAAAAATTCTTGAGAAGAGACGTAAGCATTTTGGGGTCAGCGTCACCTCTGTGCGCCTCATTCCATCGCCTTTACAAGCAAGACGATGGGAATCGAGGCCAAGTGAGCACTGTCCAAGTCAGCTCCTTTTGAATCTGAGACAAAAATAACCACGTCTCAAGTATGTTCTCTCCTCTTTTTCCAATTGGGAAAGGCACAGACTTTTTTCACATTCCCAGCCAGAGGGAATCTTTCTCAAACTTTCCATAGAGATTCTCCTTTGGGCAGACACCAAACATGGACATTTTCCACCAGGGAAAACATGCTGCTGAGTTCCAGGCTTCTAGAAAGAGGGGGGTGGGAAGGAAGTGATGGCAGTCACCCTCCCCCACTGGCTTCTCCCCAGTTGCCAGAGTGGCTGTGCGTTGTCACCAAGGGGCGCTGATCAAAGGGACTGTGACAATGATTCTACAATACAAGGGTGGGAGAAAGGGCTGAGTCAGAGAGGGACTGGGCTCCAGCCTCCTCTGATCACGAGGCTTTTCCCGCCTTGTGGGAAACAAAGGTTTAGATTTCCCCATCCCCTACACAAACGGAAGGAAGTCACAGATGTTAAAAAAATAGAGTGTAGTGTAATATGTAAAATGCGGACAGCGGAGGGAGCACCCCAGTCCTGTTCGGATCTATCCGTCTGTCCCATGTGGAGAGGAGCCTGGTTTCCTGGCTGTATCTGCCTCACTTCCCTCTCCTGACTTTTTCTCCTTGTTCAGTTTTTTCAGTTTTCTTCCTTGCTGCCTTCAGGACTCAGGGGTCGGGGCAGATCTTTAGGAATCACCTATATTGAGCAGGCATTGTGACAACTTTGCCAGGAAGGTGTTCATTTTCAGGTGAGGACACCACGGTTCGGGAAGGGAAGTGACTGGCCTAAGATTGCACATCTGAAAGGTGCCAGAGCCAGGATTTGAATCTGAGATGTTTGGACCCAGTGCTTGGACTGGGTCTGTTGGTTCAGCTGCCTCTGTCTCCTTTTCTTGAGAAGGATATTGCTCAACTGTTGTATTCTATCTTGTCTCTCAAGATAAATAATATTTTAATAGAATATTTTAAAAAATCAAAATCAATACAGAAATTCATAAGTAAAATATTAAAAATTTAAGACAGGATCAGCATAGTAATTTTTTCCTTCTGCCTCAGGCTCTAACATGGCACTGCTCTATCGACTTATTCTTGGGATCCTTACCTCCATGCATCTTCCCCCAATGTATGGTGGTGCTCCCAAAGCCCACTGTAGGCCAGCTGCTCTCCTCCGCCCACCCTTTTGTCCTTAGAACTCTCACATGGATAATATTTCATGCTCTCAATTTTTATCAATTTGTGGGTGACTACAAATTCCACATGCCCAGCTCTGGACGTACCACTTGTGTCCTGGAGTTCTGAGGGGCTGGAGCCCAGCCCCTCTCTGACTCAGTCCTCTCTCCCACCCTTGTCTTGCAGAATCATTGTCACAGTCCCTTTGATCAGTGCCCTCTTGGTGACAATGCACAGCCACTCTGGTGTGACTCCCCAGGACTTGGGTGACTACCATCATTTCCTTCCCAACCCTCTCTTTTCAGAAGTCTTGTATTTTCACTGACCTGTTGGAACTCTCCCCTTGAGCACTGCTGACCTCCCAAAGTCAATTTTTCTCTCAACTGAACTCCCTGCTCTGTCTTTGGGTCTCCTTTTGACTGTGCACCTGTCTTTGTCAGCAGCAGCCTTCTGGTCACCTGGCTCCTCCCTCATCTTTATTTTCTCTATCCAGTCTGCTACCAAGCCTTATTGGTGTTTATTCTCAAATATCTCCCACAGATTCGCTTTCTCCTCCAATAATCCAGACACACCATACCTTCGACTGTCCACTTCCAGAGAGAGAACATAGACACAATGGTTTGTCTGAAGACCGCAGGTGTAGTTGAGCTCATGGGGAGGAAGGAATGGGTTTGTTTAGAGCTGTGTAGTTGGGGCAAATGGGATTCAGAGGCAGAACTGAGATCCAAGCTATTGACATGTCTTCTCACTCAATCTTTTATTCTGTAAGTAGATATTGTAAACCTACCATATTCTAGGCACTTTCTGGGTGCTAGGGAGACAAAGATTGAAAATAAGTTTTCGTGCTTGAGAAGCTCACAGCCTGGTGGGAGAAACATACCCACAAATAGCCCCTCCAGGAGCATGCCATTTTGGAGCAACCAACCTTGCCTGAAAAGATGGGCTGGGAAAGTTCCCCAGTAGAGTTGACATTGAGCCAAACTTCAATGTTGAGTGGAATGAGGGAGATGACTGATGTCTTTGGTGATGATGATGATGATGATGATGATGATGATCATGATGGTCATTATGAAGAGAAAGAAGATGGTAAAACTCACAGGGGTGGTAATGATGAACAGGGAGACCACCATTATCAGGATGTGGTGGTGGGCTGAGGGAGGTCCCTCACCTTGGTGACTCTGTTGGTTATAGAGACCAGGCAGTGATATCAGTCATCCTGAACTAGTCCATAGGGCTTCATTGCCTGATTTCCGGTCCTCTTTTAAAGTCATGGCTTAGGAGTCAAAATATAGCTTATCTCTGCCCTTTTCTTCTGAATAAAGAAGCACGCAGAATGCAGGCATTCATTTGGCTCTTGCAAGCAGAATATGAAGATAATTTTTTCTGGCTGTGCACTTAGAGGCACTTGCCTTCTCTGTGTTTATAAAGAGAGATTCTTGCAACTGGCCTTGACTTGATTTTAATCTCAATAAAAATTCACTAAGAACTGAGGAAAGGGAATTTTCACACTAATTACCAGTTAATCAGCTGGCACAGATGTTGAACATCTGGTACTCATCCTGCCTCCTCCTATTGTAGAGTTGTCTGATTCAGCAGCTAGAGCCTGATGGGCTTGAGTCCCAGGGGAGCATCTGTGCTGTGTCCAGAGAGTTTGTAGATTTAAATGGGAGCTGTGCTTCCTATACTCTTCGAGTTCTAGAACCACTGGGTCTGCTAACTGATAACTCCGGAGGGGTCTCTTCACTCCCAAATATCTCTTCCATTGGCCTGTCACATGCTTGAAGTCTTGCCATTAACACCTTCTTTCCTTGATTTAGATCTTGTATCCTCAAGCAAGGATAGAAGAACATATAAAGACATTATTACTCCCTAACATCCCAATGTAACAGAATTTACAACTTACTGCCTCTTGAGCCACTGTATTTTAATGGTGGGGATGAGGGAGGAGCTGCTTAAAGTCTGGGCCAATTCCCAATGAGCTGGGTTGGATGAGGATGTGTAGCAGAAGAGTTGGCAGCTTTGGGGCCTCCCAGGCTTGAGGGTAGGATCTTCAGGTGATGGAAGGTGGGAGAAATGCCCCAAAGGTGGCCCAGAACCTTGGTCAAGCCAGAGCTGGGAGTGAAAAAAGGGGTCCAAATTTGCTTGAAGGCACCAGCAGGGACCCTGTGGCCATGCTTGGACTCCCTGCCCCTCACTTGTGCCCTGCTGCCACTCTCTGCAGCTAACTCCTTAGCAGGTGGGGCTTAATTCCAAGATACAATTTGCGGCAGATGTGGCCGCTCAGGGCAGCCAGCATGGCAGGTGAGTAAGGCCCTTCTTCCTTGCTCCCTGTATGGTCTCCAACCAGTCCTGGGTTTGCTGAGGCTCTTCCAGCTCCCTGTCTCCCATCCCCAGCCCTTCTGCCCCCAGATGCTGCCAGTGTGGAGACACCACAGTGATTTGCATCCAGGAGACTGATGTTCCAAAACAGCTTAGAGGAAACCCAGGTATTTCTTTGATTTTAACAATTTTTAGAAAAGTTTTCTCAAGGCTCACTTTCCTGCCACCACAAGGGAAGCCTAACTTGGTTTTTCTTCAATAGTCAAACATGCTCTTTTGCTGCACCTCTATTTGCAATGCATCATCTTGTTCCCCTTTCCAGTGATAAGATGCCAGGCCTTGGAGACTTCAGCAAATGGAAAATTCCAGGGCCTCAGTTTCTGGGCAGACGCCACCTGACTGAGCCAGCTGTCCTGTTCAGAGGGTGGCATCCATGTTGGAGCCTCATAACCACATGCAGCCAATTCAGGAGACACATGCAAGCTAAATTCAGGAGATTCTGGGTACTCCTTGAATAACCCTGAGTTACCTTCTAAAAACATGAAGTGGAAATTGGAAAGCATATCTCAAGCATTATGACTGTAAGACTGAGTCTCCTAAGGCACTAGGCATGCCTGTCATGGGTTTGCTCACAGATCCATTTCTTGTCCTTTTCTCTCCACAGAGATCCACATTTCCCAGACTCCTTTGTGTTGGAACCCACTTTGGGCACAAAGATTACAGTATGTAGGAATCTATACCCTGGGGGCAGCTCTTAACTAATGACTGACAAGTGTCAGGGTATAAATACCCCAGCTTCCCTGTCCCTAATCAGGATGAATCTGGGATGAGACCTCCTGCAGTACTGATTCAAAGTTACCCTTCCTGGCCCTTTGGTTGATCTCACACCCTTGCCTGGCCTTCTTTCCTTCCTACTCCCCTACATTTCCCCACTCTGGGAACATTGCTAATAAATGACATTCACAGGAATCCCCATCTCAAGGGGGATAAGGCTCTGCTTTATTCTTTTTTTCTGACTTCCTCTAGTTGGAATCAGCTGGGCTTATACTGTTGTTTTGGGTCATGTCTGTGAGCCTTGCTGTCCCAATTTCAGTGTAAGTCCCTAGAGGGTAAAAAAGACAGCTTACACTCTATTTTCTCCCTCTGAGATGTCCAGAGGTGCTGGGACATCCCTAGAATCACTCCTTGCCAGAGGTGGGGGGCTTTGGAAGTCATTGAGACCAATGCCCTCATTTCTACCAGGTGAAGAAACTGTGACCCAGAAAAGAGAAGGGGCTTGTGGCTGATTGTTACTCTTTTTCTCCTGACTGAGATGTGCAAGGTGACACTGTGTGTTCATGGTAGTTTGTTCTTGGTTTATTGAGACATTTTTATTATTACTCTTGCTATGTGGTGTCTGGAGGCATCCCAGGCCTTTGGCAGATATGGCTGGGAACCTCCCCGAAGCCTTTGTGAGAGAGTTACTCTGTGTCCTATGTGTCAGGCAGGCTCTGCTCCAGGGTTAGGGACACAGGGTTGGTTGGGGAGGTGAGGGGTAGGCAGCTAAGTAAAGGGGAATCACAGTAGGGTTTGGTTTGGGGCACATGTGTGGCTCCCAGTGGGGTCCCTGAGCATTTTAGCCCAGCCTGGGGTCCAGGAGGGGGACAGAGAATGCTTCCATGATGAATTGAAATCTGAGCTGAGTGTGGAAGGTGAGTAGGTGTTCTTAAGGTAGGAAAGTAGAAAAAGGCAACTCTCTCCAAATTCAGGATACAACCATCCTCTGACATAAAAATGATACTTTAAAAATTTTTTTTAGAAAGGCAGTGTGCATAGGAATATGAGAACAGAATTTGGGGTCTATGGGATTTAAATCCTGGCTCCATCAATTACTTTCTTGGTGACCTCATGCAAATTCCTTAAACTCTTTCAACCTCAGAATCCTCATCTTTCAGTTGGGATAAATCCTGTCCCATTGGGGAGGCACACAGATCAAATCAGAATAATAAACTCCTGATCTGTACAAAACTCTTCAGAAATAATAGCTATGATGTTCCCACATGTATTGACTTTTTAACTTTCAGAACATGGTATTACCCTTATCATCATCAAATCAATCTTGATTGTTTTCCTAATATACAAGTGCGAATGTCACATTAAGGAATTTGAACCTCATCTTGTCTCGTGCACCTTCATTTGAGAGCACAGGCGATATTATACGCTGAACTAGAAGCTTTGAGAAGAGAGGGGACCTGAGCACTCTTGTCTTAGGCTCCTAAAGAAGCAGTTACTGAGGCCAGGGTGTGAGTGCGAGTACTTTACTTAAGAGGTGATTCCAGGACACACTGGCTGGGGAGTGGGAAAGTGAGGCAGGGAAAGGAATTCAGTCTACAAAGGACATGTCAGTCCAACTCCTATGTGGGCAACACGGGCTCAGTGTGATGGGGACACCCTGGGACACGGTGTGGAGCACATGCCTCAAAGCTATCCCATCTGAACAAAGAGGGAGCTGCATATTTATCCACCGATTCTTAGCAGTCATTAGTTGAGAGTAGATCCCAGGGCATATGGCACTTGTAACGTATATTGCAGGCAGCAAAGCAGATTCTGGTGGCCAGAGAGGTGGGTGCTGGCAACTGGCAGCTAGCAATGGGGATGTTGGAATGGCAAGATAAGAGTGTGGACAGGCACCGTCAGCCTCTGTTTCAAAGGTGTTGCAGCGGGTCAGACCAGGATGACCTGTCTTCCAGGCCTTCTCTCGCAAGAACATCATGTGTGGATTCATGGGGAGACGGTGGTAAATGTTGATTGCCTGTGGGGCACAGTGGAGCATGGCTGCAGATAGTGTGAGAACTGCTCAGGTTGCAGAAACCGTGATGGGTGCCAGGACGGAGGATCAGAGTCTGAGCATAGACAAAAAAGAGGCAGGTGCTACATCTCTGTCTGGCAATTTTTGCTCTGCCTCAATTAACACTGGTTTGGTGCCCAGGACAAGTTCTACTTTAAGACACTCTTCCCTTAACACAGTGATTTATGAATGGATTTGAGTTGTTTTTACCAGTGTTGCTGCATCAAAGAAAAGAGAAAACATTCGACTCCCTCTCTTAGTGTTCTGTCTTCAGCCCCCATCAACCTGCTCTAATAACCCTCCAACTAGCCTCCCTGGATCCAGAAGAGAGGTTATTGAATATTTCTGCTCCCAGGCAGTTCTCATATTTGGACTTCATGCACATGTTATCTTTGTATAGCACACTACGTAGTTACTTGACGCAGAGAACAGTTTAGATCCAAGGAGTTTCCTTGGGAGGTAAGCCCAGGAGTCCCTGTAAGGAGTGGGGAGGTGGTACAGGGAAGGGAGGCAAAACTGGTGAAGATGGCATTAATGGGCAGCTGGGCAACCAGGGCTCAGTCCTGCTGGGGCCCTCGGAGTGAATGTATGGATCAGGCCTTAGGACTACCCCTGGAGGGGTGAGGAAGCTGGGGCATTTCCACCAGCTCCTGCCCTCTCTGGGTGGGAGCTGCTACCGAGGAGTTAATTTCTGGCACTTCCAGCCTGCCCTGTGCTGGGGGAGGTCCCTCATGGTCAGATATTGGCCTCAGGTAGAGATGCAGAGGTGGGGTGAGGGAACCAACTGTGAGTGCTCACTGGGGGAAAGAAGGAGATGCCTTGCTAGGAATAAAAGGGCATTGGAAGATATTTTATTTCCTCCTGGCAGGGGCAAAATCACAATCTCTTTCATCATGCCACTCTCCTGCTCAACAAGCTTCATTGGCTCCCCATCACTTATTTCATCAGATCTAACTTCCTGAATCCCTGCCATTCCATCACTGCCTGATACTTCTTTACCCTCTAATCTGTAAATAATTACAACTATAACAGAATGCATAATTAATCAAACCAACACCCAAGCTTTCAGCACTGTGTGGAGTGGGAGCTAATGACATTTGGCTGTGGAATAAATTGTTTTAGACTTGTCTTGCCAGCCCTACATTCAGCTAGCTGTACGCTGGCTCGGCCTGCTCAACCCACTCCTTGGCATTGCTCACCCCTCACTCTTGCAGAGTGCGCCTCTGTTCCACTGTTTTCCTGCAGCTTGTCCAATTCCTGCAAATTACTCAAGGCCCAGTTGTGGTTGCACCTCCACTGGATTTCCTTCCCGTCCTTGGTCTCTTATAGCCAATGTCTGTAAGGGCCGCTTGTTAGGCCAGGCACTGTTGGTCATCCAATAGAGTCTCACTCTTGCTGCATGTGTGAGCTTTGTCTATCCTTCATGGGAGCAAATTGCTCCAGACTGGGGCCGGAGTCTTATTCCTGTCCCCATGGCACAGCCCTTTATAGGGGCCGAGTCCTTGATCAGTCCTCAGTGCATAATGGGTGTTGGTGATATTGATCATGAGGACTGTAGCAGATGCTGTGAGTGCTCTGCCCACATCTCTGCAGCATTCATCTCTGCACCCAAAGCTGATTACAATGAACGATTGTGATTCTCTGCCTGGGGGCCCCTTTTCTGGCTGGGGAGCTGGTATGCCCTGTGTGCAGAGCAATCAAGTGCTGAGACCTACTGAGAAGGAAACAGACCTGACAGTGAAGGATGAGCTTCCTCACCCTCGGGCGAGGCAACTCCGAAGTGTACTCTGCGAGGGTTAAGCTCCAGCTGCCTGCAGTGGTAACTTGCTTGATAACCCACCTCTTTGTTGGCCTCCTTCTCTTTCCTTTTCAATTTCCAATACTCTCATGATGTTTTCTGCTATCATTATCCTCTAGCCCCCAGTTAAAATTGCACTCAAGTCTTTGTTTTGGTGTATGAATCTGGATGACCCTGACATGAGAGCCAGTGGGCTTAGGGTTCCAGAGCACGGTGAGATGGTTCGGGCTCACAGTGCCCATAACGAGGGCTGGGAGCCAGTGAATGTAGAGGGCCAAGTGCACCTGAGGTCCTGGACTTGGAGGTAGGCCTGAGGCCAAGGGAAGGGACAAGTGGGCCTGGAGAGCTCTTTGGCTAAAGAGGAGAGCGACTGAAATGAACTTGGAGAGACCCTGAAACTAGTTAGGCACTGACCATTGCCAAAAGATGTGCCTTGATTTGAAAGTTTACTACAAAGTGGTTTGGCTATTGGGAAAAAGTACCACTGCCACCAGCCAAAACCCACATCTGCATACTTCTGTCCTGCTGCAGTACTTGATCTGCTTCCCAGTGAGAGAAATTAGATTGTTGGTTATGAACCAAATCTTTCCCCATCCCTTGGGGCCATGGATGGAACTCTGACAGCATCTTAGACTGACCTCCTGGTCTCAGGGGCACCTCACTCTGGTCATAGACTTATTTTACCACTCTGGCCATTAGATTAACCTATTCGTCTAATGTCAAATGTTCCAGAAACAGATGCCATTGCCTCAAGGAGACCAGCAATGAGAAAGTGGGTCCCTAGGAGCAGCCTACCCATAGCTGGAGCCCTGAGGGCCATGATCCCCCAAATCTTGTGTAGGGCAGGGGGTCTCCTAAAGCCTGATTCTGTAAACTGACCTTGCGATGAGTATCAAGTGCCCATAATGACTATGTGAATTTCATTTCTTAAGCATCCATCTGTTCATCCTGAATCTGGAACACTTTTACCCATTGAAGGAATTAAACAGGAGTTGGAAAGAGTTCAGTAAGACAGGCCAAAGACTCAAAGAACATTTGGCCCAAGGTACTCCCAGAAGAGAAAGAGCTGGTGAAAATGGAGGCTGGGTTCTTGGCAGCCACCTCCCAACTAGAGCAGGGAAGACAGAAGGAGATGCTAGAGAAATGATCTAGGTCCAACTGGGAAGCTGCCTTCACGCACTAGTAAGAATGAGAGACCATGCAACTCCAATCTCTAATAGACTGAAATATGGAAGCAATTAAGCTTTGCTTGGGACTGGCTAAAGGGGAATCTGAAGGTGTGCTGAGGAATTCATTGGTTAAAACCCTTCTTGTTGGGCCTTGGTTTAGTAGTTGCAGTTCTTGCATTACTGTGATGTATGATTTTTTTTATTAAATTTTCTTTGTTGTTGGCCTTACCTATGTTGTTACTGTGGAGTTAACTCCAAGCTCCGAGGCTCTGGGGTGGGCACATATTCCCAGACTTTCAAATCAGCTTATTTCATCTCCATGGCCCCTACCAGGCATAGGTGAGTATTTTAGGCTGGTTCAATGAGACATTTGTTGAAGCTTTCGGGAAAGCAGAGCTCTTTCTTCTGGGATTGCTGAAGATGAAGACGATGTAAGGCTGAAATTGCATTGGTGGCCTTGTTGCCATTGATCCGTGAAGACATGAAAAGCTGCTCAGACATAAGGCAAACACCAAGGAAAGTGGAGGGGGGATGCATGGTATAGGGCAAGAGAGAAGAAGAAGAGGAAGAGGAAAAGGAAGAGGAAGAGGAGGAGGAGAAGGAGAAGGAAAAGGAAAAAAACAGAGAATAATAATTGATGCAACCTTCCTTTTAGTTATTCTGTAGGGCCAGCATTTTCTTTATCACTTAAAAACAAGAGGGGAAGAAAATTCGTTTAGCAGTTGCTCTTGATGCCCTGATACACCATTCCCTTGGTACACTATTCCCTCACTCCTACAAGCACCTGTGACTCTGTTTGAGGACGTTCTTTGAATTTTCTTGGCCCATGTACAGGCCAAGCTGGAGTTCCTGGACTTAAGAGTCTAGGGAGTATCCCAGAACTAATGACAGGTGAGAATCCATGTGTACATGCTCTAGCTTCCTCTCCCTCCTATGGGACAACTGCCCCCAGAACTCAGCTTCCAATTGTCTGAAGCGGCACCGTGCTCACGCATGCCCCTGTACTGTCTCCCTTTCCCACACCCTTCCTGTGCTTTCTGAGATCATCTCCCAAATAAACTACTTGCATGTTAATTCTTGTCTCAGGATCTGCTTCTAGGAAACTTCAAACTAATGAGAAACTCCTAATGAAGGAACTGGACTACAAACTAAAATTTCCACAAACGTTATAAAATCCAAGTTAATCTAATCCAATCAGGTTCAGGTGGAGGGCTCTGTATGGAGATTGTATAAGTCCTTGAGGGTCTAAAAAAGTATAAAGCCTTCTCTGTCCTCAAGAGGCCTACCAGTTTGGTGAGGAGACAGTGTTAGGCCATTCTTGCATTACTATAAAGAAATACCTGAGTCTGGGTAATTTGTAAAGAAATGAATGAAATTCACATAGTCATTACGAGTGCTGGGTAATTTATAATTTATAAAGAAAAAGATTTCATTAGTTCATGATTCTGCAGGCTGTACAGGAAGCATGGCGCCAACACCTGCTCTGCTTCTGGGAAGACCTCAAGGAGCTTTTACTCATGGCAGAAGGTGAAGCAGGAGCAAGCATCTCACATGGTGAAAGCAGGAGCAAGAGAGAGGAGGGAGGTGCTACTCACTTTTAAACAGCGAGATATTGCATGAACTCACTCACGATGGTGAGGACAGCACCAAGGGGATGGCACTAAACTGTTCATGAGAACTCCGCCTCCATGATCCAATCACCTCCCACCAGGCCCCACCTCCAACATTGGGGATTACATTTCAACATGAGATTTTGGGGGGCCAATATCCAAACTGCATCAGAGAGCTAGATAAAATATGAGAGTAAATATATCTTAGAACTCTGATGTTGGCAGGCAGGGGCCCTGCTCTGGGGATATCTGGCTAAATGTGGCCACAATCCCCAGTTTTATGGCTCCTCAGAATCCAGAGACTTCCTATTGATCTCTTCAAATTCCCAACAACAAACTGGGCACAAAGTCCACATCCACGGAAATTTGATCACACACAGCATTTGGAAAGCTTGGCAATTTGAGGGAAGGTTTGGAAAACTGTGGAAGTAATCACATCACTCACCTCCCAGCCATCTCCCATACTACTGAGGCCATGCCTCTTTGAGTTAGTGAATCAATCCTTCCTTTGATCCTTCTCATTGTGTGATACCCTCAAGCCCTTGACTCCAGTTTGGTCCTGATTGCTTCTCCCTTGGTGAGAGGCCTGCCAGGCTGGCCAACCTTCTCCAGGGACCTTTGGAAATTGGA